>NW_021160024.1:307535-461303 GCF_000001405.40 Homo sapiens
CATTTGATTCCATTCGTTGATGATTCCATTCATTTCCATTATATGATGATTCCATTAGATTCCATTCGATGATGATTCCATTCAATTCCATTCAATGATGATTCCATTTAATTCCATTCAATGATGATTCCACTCAATTCCATTCGATGATTCCATTCTATTCCATTCGATGGTGATTGCATTCGAGTGCATTCGATGATTCCATTCAATTCCACTCAATGATACTTCAATTCGAGTCCGTTCGATGATTCCTTTCGATTCCATTCGATGATGATTCCATTCGAGTCCATTTGATTATTGCATTCGAGTCCATTCGATGATTCCATTCGATTCCATGTGATGATTCCATTGAGTCCATTCAATGATTCCATTTGATTTCATTTGATGTTGACTGCATTCGGTTCCATTCTATGATGATTCCAACGGACTCCATTCGATGACTCCATTCGATTCCATTCATTGATGATTCCATTCGATTCCATTCGATGATGTTTCCATTCGATTCCATTCGTTGATGATTCCATTCGATTCCATTCGATAATGTTTCCATTCGATTCCATTCGATGATGATTCCATTCTACTCCATTCCATGATTATTCCATTTGATTCCATTCAATGATGATTCCATTCAATTCCATTCGATGACTCCTTTTGATTCCATTCAATAATGATTCCATTCGGGTCCATTCGATGATTCCAATTGATTCCATTCAATGATGATTCCATTCGATGATTCCATTCAATTCTATTCGATATTTCCTTTCAATTCTACTCGATGTTGATTCCATTGGAGTCCATTCGATGATTCCATTCGAATGCTTTCCATGATTTCATTCGATTCCATTTGATGATGATTCCATTCAAATCCATTCAATAATGATTCCATTGATTCCATTCGATGATTACATTGGATTCCATTCTTTGTTTTATTTAGAGTCTTTTTGATGATGATTCCTTTCTCTTTCATTCGATGATCCCATACGATTCTAATCCATGATGATTCCATTCGATCCCATTTGATGAAAATTCCATTCAATTCCATTCGATGATGATTGCATTCGATTCTATTTGATGCTGATTCTATTTGGTTCCTTTCGATGGTGATTCCATTCGATTCCATTCGATGATTCCATTCAATTCCATTCGATGATGATTCCATTCGAGACCTTTCAATGATTCCATTCAATTCCATTCAATAATGATTCCATTCGAGTCCATTCGATGACTCCATTCAAGTCCATGAGATGATTCCGTCTGATTCCATTTGATGATTCCATTAGGGTCCATTCGATGATTCCATTCTATTCCATTTGGTGATGATTTCATTTGATTCCATTCAATGATTCCATTCGATTCCATTCGATGATGATTCCAATCAATTCCAATAGATGATTCCCTTTGAATCCATTTGATGATGAGTCTATTCATTTCAATTCCGTGATGATTCCATTCGATTCAATTCGATGGTGTTTCCATTCGATTCCATTCGATGTTGATTCCATTTGATTCCATTGGATGATGATTCCATTCGAGTCCATTCCATGATGGTTCCATTCAAGTCCATTCGATGATGATTCCATTTGATTACATTTGACGATTCTATTCGATTCCATTCAATGATGAATCCATCTTATTCCATTTGATGAATCATTCGATTCCATTTGATAATGATTCCATTTCATGAATCATTCGATTCCATTCGATGATGATTCCATTCGTTTAAATCCGATGATGATTCCATTCGATTCCATTTGATGATTATTCCATTCGAGTAAATTCAATGATTCCATTCGATACCATACGATGATGATTCCATTCGAGTCCATTCGATGATTCCATTCGAGTCCATTCAATGATTCCATTCGAGTCCATTTGATGATTCCATTCGAGTCCATTCAATGATTCCATTCGAGTTCATTCGATGATTCCATTTGATTCCATTTGATGAAGATTCCATATGAGTCCATTTGATGTTTCCATTTGATTCCAATTGATGATGATTTCTTTCGAGTCCTTTCGATGATTCAATTTCATTCCATTCGATGATGATTCCATTCGAGCACATTGACTATTCCGTTCCATTCCATTCGATGATTCCATTTGAGTACATTTGATTATTCTATTCCATTCCTTTCGAAAATTCCGTTCAATTCCATTTGATGTTGATTCCATTCGAGTCCTTTCGATGATTATTCCATTCAATCCTATTCGATGATTCCATTCGATTCCATTCAATGATGATTCCATCCGTGTCCCTTCGATGATTCCATTTGGTAAAATTGGATGATGATTCCATTCGATTGCATTCGATGATTCCATTCTATTCCTTCGATGATGATTGCATTTGAGTCCATTCGATGATTCCATTCAAGTCCATTTAATGATTCCATTTGGTTCAATTCAATGATGATTATATTGGATTCCATTCTATGGTTCCATTCTATTCCATTCGTTCATGATTCCATTCGATTCCACTCGATGGTGACTTTATTCGGTTTCATTCAATGATTCTATTCAATTCCTTTCAATGATGAATCAATTCTTTTCCATTGGATGATTATATTCGATTCCATTTGATGATGATTTCATTCGATTCCATTCGATGATGATTCCATTTGATTGCATTTGATGATGATTCCATTCGTGTCCATTTGAAGTTTCCATTCGATTACATTGCATGACGATTCCATTCCAGTCCATTCGATGATTCCATTCAACTGCATTCGACGATGATTCCATTCGATGCTATTCGATGATTCCACTAGATTACATTTGATGATGATTCCATTTGACTCCATTTGATAATTCCATTCGAGTCCTTACCATTATTCCGTTAGATTCCATTCGATGAGGATTCCATTAGATGCCATTCGATGTTTCCATTTGATTCCATTCGATGATGTTTCCATTCGAGTCCATTCAATGATAACTGCATTGGATTCCATTCGATGACTCCATTTGATTCCATTCAATGATGATTCCGATCGATTCCATTCAATGATTCCATTCGATTCCATTCCATGATTCCAATTGATTCAATTCGATAATGATACCTTTCGAGTCCATTTGATGATTACATTCGAGTCCATTTGATAATTCCATTTGAGTCCAATCCATGATTTCATTCGAGACCATTCAATCATTCCATTTGAGTCCATTCGATGATGATTCCATTCGAGTCCATTCAATGATTCCATTTGATAGTTCCATTTGAGTCCATTCCATGATTGCTTTTGATTCCATTTGATGATATTCCATTCCACTCCATTCAGTGATTCCATTCGATTCTATTCAATGATGATTCCATTCGTGTCCATTCGGTGATTCCATTCAATTTCATTCAATGATGATTCCTTAGGAGTCTATTAGATGATTCCATTCGATTCCATTACATGATGATTCCATTGGAGTCCATTCAGTGATTCCTTCGATTCCATTCTATGATGATTCCATTCGAGTCCAATTGATGACTCCATTCGATTCCATTTGATGATGATTTCATTCGAGTCCATTCAACGATTCTATTCAATTCCATTCGATGATGATTCCATTCCACTCCATACGATGATTCAATTTGAGTCCATTCGATTATTCCATTAGATTCCATTCGATGATGATTCCATTCGATGCCATTCAGTGATTACATTCGATTCCTTTCAGTGATGATTGCATTCGTGTCCATTCGAATATTCCATTCGATTCCCTTGGATGATGATTTCATTTGAGTCCATTTGATGATAAATTCATTCATGTCCATTCAATGATGATTCAATTCGATTACATTCGATGGTTCTATTCGATTCCATTCGATGATGATTCCATCTGATTCCATTCGATGAATCCATTCAATTCCATTCTATGAAGATTCCATTCATTTCCATTCGATGATGATTCCATTCGATTCCATTCAATGATTCCTTTCGATTCCATTCAATGATGATTCCAATCAATTCCATTTGATGATTCCATTCGAATCCATTCAATGATGAGTCCATTCGTTTCAATTCCATCATGATTCCATTCGACTCAATTCGATGGTGTTTCCATTCGATTCCATTTGATGTTGATTCCATTGGATTCCATTGGATGATTATTACATTTGAGTCCATTCGATGATGATTCCATTCGATTTCATTTGATGATTCTATTTGATTCCATTCGATGATGATTCCATCTGACTCCATTTGATGATTCCATTCAATTCCATTCAATGATGATTCCATTCATTTCCAACCAATGATGATTCTATTCGATTCCATTCAATGATTATTCCATTCGAGTCCATTCAATGATTCCACTCGATACCATTCAATGATGATTCCATTCGAGTCTGTTCAATGATTCCATTCGACTCCATTCAATGATGCTATTCGATTCCATCCGATAATTCCGTTCAATTCCATATAATGATTATTCCGTTTGAGTCCCTTTGATGATTATTCCATTCGATTCTATTTGGTGATTCTTTTCGATTCCATTTGATAATGATTCCATTCGAGACCATTCGATGATTCCATTCATTTCATTTGATGATGATTCCATTCAATTCCATTCGATGATTCCATTAGATTCCATTTGACAATGATTTCATTTGATTCCATTTGATGAAGATTCCATGCGATTCCATTTGATGATGACTCCTTTTGCTTCCATTCGAAGATGATTCCATTCAGTTCCATTCGATGATTATTCCTTTGGATTCCATTTGCTGATGATTCCATTCTACTCCATTTGATGTTTATTCTTTTTTATTCCATTCGATGATTATTCCATTTAATTCCATTCGATGATGATTCCATTCGATTCTGTACGATGATGATTCGATTCCAATCCATTTGATGATTCCATTCGATTCCATTCGAAGATTCCATTCGATCCCTTTAGAAGATTATTCCATTCGAGTCCATTCGGTGATTCCTTTCTATGCCAATTGAAGATTTTTCCATTCAAGTCCATTCAATGATACCATTCGATACCATTAGTCGATGATTCCATTCAAGGGCATTTGATCATACCATTTGATTCCATTTGATGATGATTCCATTTGATGATTCCATTCAATTCCATTCTATGATCATTCCATTTGAGTCCATTTGATGATTCCATTGGACTCCATTTGATGATGATTCCATTCAATGATTCCATTCGATTCTATTCAATGATGATCCCATTCGATTTCGTTTGTTTGCTGATTCTATTCAATTCCATTCCATCATTCAATTTGACTCCATTCAATGATTCCATTCAATTCCATTTGATGATTCCATTTGATTCTATTCAACGATGATTCCATTCGATTCCATTCGATAATGACTGCATTCTGTTCCATTTGATGATTCCATTCGATTCTATTTGATGGTGATTCCATTCGTGTCCATTCGTTGATTCCATTCGATTTCATTCAGTGATGATTCCTTTTGAGTGCTTTAGATTATTCCATTTGATTCCATTTGATGACGATTCCATTCGAGTCCATTCAGTGATCCCATTCAATTCCATTAGATGATGATTCCATTTGATTCCATTCAATGATTCCATTCGATTCCATTTGATGATGATTTCATTCGAGTCCATTCGGTGATTCCGTTTGATTCAATTCGATGATGATTTCATTCGAGTCCATTCAATGGTTCCATTTGATTCCATTTGATGATGATTCCTTTCGAATCCATTCAATGATTCTATTTGAATTCATTTGATGATTGCTTTTGATATTTGATGATTATTCCATTCAAGTCCATTCGATGATTCCACTCGATTCCATTCGATGATAATTCCATTCGAGTCCATTTGATGATTCCGATTGCTTCCATTCTCCGATGATTACATTTGAGTCCATTCAATGATTCCCCTCGATTCCATACGATGTAGATTCCTTTTGATTCCATTCGATGATTCCATTCTATTCCATTCAATGATGATTCCATTCGAGTACATTAGATGATACCATTCAATTCCATTCGATGATGATTCTATTCGTGCCCATTAGATAATTTCACATGATTCCATTCGATAGTGATTCCATTCGAGTGCATTCGTTCATTCCATTTGATTCCATTGGACGATGATTCCATTTCATTCAATTCACTGGTGATTCCATTCAATTACATTCATTGATTCCATTCCGTGCCATTCGACAATGATTCCATTCAATTCCATTCGATGATTCCACTCGATTCCTCTTGACAATGATTCCCTTCCATTCCATTCGATGATTCCCTTTGATTCCATTCGATGATGATTGCCTTCAATTCCATTTGATGATTCCATTTGGTTCCATTCAATGATGATTCTGTTTGATTCCATTTGATGATTCCATTTGATTACATTCGAGGATTCCATTTGATACCATTTGATAATCATTCCATTCGATTCCATTCAATGATTTCATTCGATTCCAATCGATGATGATTCCATTCCAGGCCATTCGATGATTCCATTCAATTCCATTCGATGATGCTTCCATGCGATGCCATTAGATGTTTCCATTCGAATCCATTCAGTGATGATTCCATTCGAGTCCATTCGAAGATTCTATTCGATTCACTCGATGATAATTCCATTCGATTCAATTCAATGATTCCTTTTGATTCCATTCGATGATGAATCCATTTGAGTCCATTCGATGATTGCATTCAAGCCCTTTTGATGATTCCATTCGGTTCCATGCAATGATGATTCCAATGAGTCCATTTGATGATTCCATTTGATTCCATTCGATGATGACTGCTTTCGGTTCCATTCGATGGTGATTCCAACAGACTCCATTCGATGACTCCATTCGATTCCATTCATTGATGATTTCATTCGATTCCATTCAATTATGATTCAATTCAATTTCATGCGATGATTCCACTTGATTCCATTTGATGATGATTCCATTCTTGTCCAATCGATGATTCCATTCAATTCCATTTGATGATGATTCCATTCGAGTCCATTCGATGATTCCATTCGACTACATTTGATGATAATTCCATTGGATGCTATTCGATGATTCCATTCGATTCCATTCTATGATGATTACATTCGACTCCATTTGATGAATCCATTCGAGTCCATTCAATGATGATTGCATTCATGTCCATTCGATGATTCCATTCAATTCCATTCGATGATGATTCCATTTGAGTCCATTCAATGATTCCATTCGAATCCATTCGATGATTCCACTCGATTCCATTCAATGACTCCGTTCGATCCCGTTCAATGATTCCATTTGATTCCAGTTCATGATTCTTCCATTTGATTCAATTCGGTGATTCCATTCAATTCTATTCAATGATTGCTCCAATAGAATCCTAGAGATGATGATTCCATTCGATTCCATTTGATTACGATTATATTCGATTCCATTTGATGATGATTCCTTTCGAGTCCATTCGATGATTCCATTAGATTCCATTGGATGATGATTCCACTCGGGACTCGAATGGAATGGAATGGACTTGAATGGAATGGAATGGAGAGGAATGGACCCGAATGGATTGGAATGAAATGGAATGGACTGGAATGCAATGGAATGGAATGGAAGGGTCTTGAATGGAATGGAATGGATTGGAATAGAATGGAATTGAATGCGATGGACTCGAATGGAGTGGAATGGCCTCAAATGGAATGGAGTGGAATGGAACGGAGTCAAATGCATTAGAATGTAATTTACCGGATATGTCACTAATGCAATGACTCTAATGGAATAGAATGAAATGGACTCAAATGGAATGGAATGGAATGTACACTAATGGAATGGAATGAATGGAATGGAATGGACATGAAGGGAATAGAAAGGAATGGAATGGACTGGACTCGAATGAAACGGAATGGAAAGGACACGAATGGAATGGAATGGACTCGAATGGAAAGGAATGGAATGGAGAGAAATGGAATCGAATAGAATGCAGTTGAATGGAATGGACTAGAAAGGGATTGAATGGAAAGGAATGGAATGGAATGGAATGGAATGGAATGGAATGGAGTGGAATGGAATGGAATGGACTAGGAAGGAATGGAATGGAAAGGAATGGAATGGAAAGAAATGGAATCGAATATAATGTAGATGAATGGAATGGACTAGAAAGGAATGGAATGGAAAGGAATGGAATGGAATGGAATGGAATGGACTAGGAAGGAATGGAATGGAATCGAATGGAAGGGAATGGAATGGAATGGACTCGAATGTAATTTAATAGACTCGAATGAAATGGAATGGAATGGAATGGAATTGACTCGAGTGGAATGGAATTGAATGGAGTGGACAGGAATGAAATGGAACGCAATGGAATGCAATGGAATAGACTTGAAAGGAATGGAATGGAATGGACCCAAAGTAATGTAATGTAATGGAATCGAATGGAATGGAACTTACTCGAATGTAATGGCATGGAAAGAATGGACTCTAATGGAATGCAATGGAAAGGTATGGACTCGAATGGAATGGAATGGAATGGAGTTAAAGGGAATGGAATGGATTGAACTCGAATGGAATGGAATGGATTGGAATAGACTTAAATGGAAAGGAGAGGAATGCAATGGAATGTAATGGACTCGAATGGAATAACATGGAATATAAAGGACACGAATGTAACGGGATGGAATGGAATGGATTTAAATCTAATGGAATGGAATGGAATGCACCTCAATTGAGTGGAATGGAACGAATGGATTGGAATGGAATGGAATGGAACTGAATGGAATGGAATGGAATGGAACTGAATGGAATGGAATGGAATGGAATGCAATGGAATGTTATGGAACGGAATGGACTTGAATGGAATAGAATGGAATGAAATGGAATGTGCTCGAATGAAATGGAATCGAATGGACCCAAATGGAATGGAATTGAATGGAATGAATTCGAACGGAATGGAATGGAATGGAATGCAATGGACTCGAATGGAATGGAATGGAATGGACTCGAATAGAATTGATTGGAATGGAGTGGAAAGGAATGGACTCGAATCGAATGGAATGGACTTGAATGGAATGGAATGGAGAGGAATGGACCGGAATGGAATGGAATGAAATGGAATGGACTGGAATGCAAATCGAATGGAATGGAAGTGAGTTGAATGGAATAGAATGGAACAGAATGGACTGGAATCGAATGGAATTGAATGGAATGGACTCGAATGGAGTGGAATGGACTCAAATGGAATAGAGTGGAATGGAATGGAGTTGAATGCAATAGAATATAGTTTACCGGATTGGACACTAACACAAAGGACTCTAATAGAATGGAATGAAATGGACTCAAATATAATGGAATGGAATGGACACGAATGGCATGGAATGGAATGGAATTAAATGGACTGGACTGGAATGGAATGGAATGAATGGAATGGAATGGAATGGAATGGACTTGAATGGAATAGAATGGAATGGAATGGACTGGACTCAAATGAAATGGAATGGAATGGACACGAATGGAATGGAAGGGATTCGAATCGAATGGAGTGAAAAGGACGCGAGTGGAATGGAATGGAAAGGAATGGACTCGAATGGAATGGAATGGAATGGAATTGACTCGAATTGAATGGAATGGAATGGACTCGAAGGCAATGGAATGGATTTAAATTCACTTGAGTGGAAAAGAATGGAACGGAGTCGAATATAATGGAATGTACATGAAAGAAATGGAGTCGAATGGAATGGACTCAGGTGGAATACAGTTGAATGGATTCGAATGGAATGGAATGCAATGGAATGGACTCGAATGGAATGGAAAGGAATGGACTCCAATGGAATGGAATGGAATGGACTCGAATGGAATGGAATGGAATGGACTCAAATGGAATGGAATGGAATGGAATGGACTCGAATGGAATGGAATATAATGGACTCAAACCGAATGGAATGTAATGTAATGGACTCGAATGGAATGGAATGGAATTTAATGGAATGGACACTAATGGAATGTAATGGAATGGACTCGAATGGAAGGGAAAGAACTCGAATGGAATGGAATGTTATGAAATCAACTCGAGTGGAATGGAATGGAATGGACTCGAATGGAAAGGAATGGAATGGACTCGAATGGAAAGGAATGTAATGGACTCGAATGGAATTGAGTGGAATGAAATGGAATGGAATGGAATAGACTTGAGTGGAATGGAAAGGAATTGACACTAATGGAATAGAAAGGAATGGACTCCAATGGAATGGAATGTAATGGAATGGACTCGAATGGAATTGAGTGGAATTGAATCGAATGGAATGGAATGGAATGGAATAGACTCAAATAGAAAAGAATGTCATGGAATGGAATGGAATTGAATAGACTCAAATAGAAAAGAGTGTCATGGAATGGAATGGAATTGAATAGACTCAAATAGAAAAGAATGTCATGGTATGGAATGGACTTGAATGGAATGCAATTTAAAGGAATGAAAAGGACTCGAATGGAATTAAATGAAATGGACTCTAGAATGAAATGAAATGCCATAAAATGGAATAGAATGGAATGGAATGTACTCGAATAGAATGGAATGGACTCGAAAGAAATGGAATGGAATGGACTCTAGAATGGAATGGAATGCAATGCAATGGAATAGAATGGAATGGAATGGACTCGAAAGGAATGGAATGGATTGGAATTGAATGGAATGAAATTGTCTCGAACGGGATGGAATGGAAAGGAATGTACTCGAATGGGATGGACTGGACTCGAGTGGAATGAAAGGGAATGAAAATCACTCAAGTGGAATTGAATGGAATGGAATGGACTCGAGTGGATGGAATGGACCCAAATTCAATGCAATGTAAAGGAATGGGAGGGACTTGAATGGAATGGAATGCAATGGAATGGAATAGAATGGAATGGAATGGACTCGAAAGGAATGGAATGGATTTGAATGGAATGGACTCGAATGGCATGGAATGGAAAAAACCCGAATGGAATGGAATGGAAAAAAACCCTAATGGAATGGAATGGAATGGAAAGAAACGGACTCGAATGGAATGGAAAGGAATGGAATGGACCTGAACATAGAGGAATGGAATGGAATGGACCCGAATGGAATGGAATTGAATGGACCCGAATGGAATGGAATCTAAAGGAATGGCAAGGCATGGAATGGGATGGAATGGAATGGAATGGAATGGTATGGAATGGAATGGACTCTAATGGAATAGAATGGAACAGACTCTAATGGAATAGAATGGAATGGAATGGAATGGAATCAAAATTAATGGAATGGAATGGACTCAAATGGAATGGAATGCGCACGAATGGATTGGAATGAAATGGACCCGAATGGAATGGAATGGAATGGAATGGAATGGAATGGAATGCAGTTGAATTTAATGGACCCGAAAGGAATGGAATGGAATGGAATGGAACGAAATGGAATGGAATGGAATGGACTCAAATGGAGTGGAATGGAACAGAATGGACTCGAATGAAATGGAATGGACTTGAATCAAATTTAATGGAATGGAATGCATTTGAATGGAATTGAATGGAATGGACTTGAATGGAATGGAATGGACTCGAATGGAATGGAGTGGATTGGAAGCGACTCAAGTGGAATTGACTGGAATGGAATGGACTCGAATGAAATGGAATGTAATGGAATGGACTCGAATGGAACACAATGGAATGGAAGGGACTCGAACCGAATGGAAGGGACAAAAGCATGGAATGGAATGGACCTGAATGGTATGGAATGGAATGGAATGGAATGGAATGGAATGGAATGGAATGGACAAGAATGGAATGGAATGGAATGGAATGGAATGGAATGGAATGGAATGGAATGGAATGGAATGGAATGGAATGAAATGGAATGGACTCGATTGGAATGGAATGGAATGGAATGGACTCGAAAGTAATGGAATAGAATGGACTTGAATGAAATGGAATGGAATGGAATTGACTAGAACGGAATAGAATGGAATTTATTGGATTGGATTCTAATGGAATGGACTCTCATGGAATGGAATAGAATGGACTCGAATGGAATAGAATGGAATGGAATGGAATGGAATGGAAATGACTCGAGTGGAATGGAAAGGAATGGAATGGAATGGACTCGAATGGAATAGAATGGGATTTAATGGAATGGACTCTAATGGAATGGAATGCTATGGACTCGAATGGAATGCAATGGAATGGACTCAAATGGAATGAAAAGGAATGGAATGGCCTCAAATGGAATAGAATGGGATTTAATGGAATGGACTCTAATGGAATGGAATGTGATGGACTAGAATGGAATGCAATGGAATGGACTTGAATGGAATGGAATGGAATTCAATGGATTGATTGGAATGGAATGGAGTGGAATATACTTCATTGGAATGGAATGTACCCGAATGGAATGGAATGGAATGAATAGAACATGATGGAATTGAATGGACTTGAAGGCAATGGAATGGAATGGACTCCAATGGAATTGAATGGACTCGAATGGAATGGAGTGGAATTTAATTGAATGGAGTCTAATCGAATAGAATCTAATGGAATGCAAACAATCGTATCGAATGGAATATAATGGAATGGACTCGATTGGAATGGAATGCAATGGAATGGACTGGAATGGAATGAAGTGGAATGGACTGAAATTGAATGGAATGGTACTGAATTGTCTCAAAAGAAATGGAATGGAATGCAATTGAATGGACTCGAATGGAATGAAATGGAATTTAATCAAATGGAATTGAATGGAATGGATCCGAAAGGAATGGATTGGAATGGAATGGACTCGAATGGATTGGAATGGAATGGAGTGGAATGGACTCGAATGGAATGGAATGGAATGGACTCCAGTGGAATGGAATAGAAAGGACTGAAATGGAATGGAATGGACTTGAATGAAATGGACTTGAATGGAATGGAATTGAATGGAATGGACTCAAATGGAAGAGAATGGAATGGAATTGAATGGACTGGAATGGAATGGAATGAAATGGACTTGCATGGAAAGCAGATGAATTGAATTGAGTCAAAAGGAATGGAATGGAATGGAATGGATTGGAATGGAATAGAATGGAATGGACTCGAATGGAATGGATTGGACTTGAATGGAATGGAGTGGATTGGAATCGACTAGAATGGAATGGAGTGGAATACAATGGACTCGAAAGAAATGGAATGCAATGGAATGGACTCGAATGGAATGCAATGGAATGGAAGGGACTCAAATCAAAAGGAAGGGACAAGAATGGCACGGAATGGAATGGACCCGAGTGGAATGGAATGGAATGGAATGGACACAAATGGAATGAAATGGAATGGAATGAAATGGAATGGACTCGAATGGAATGCAATGGACTCGAAAAGAATGGTATGGAATGGACTCGAATGAAATGGAATGGAATGGAATGCACTCGATTGGAATAGAATGGAATTTATTGGATTAGACTCTAATGGAATGGACTGTCATGGAATGGAATGGAATAGACTAGAATGTAATAGAATGCAATGGATTGGACTCAAATGGAATGGAATGGAATGGACACGAATGGAATGGAATGGAATGGAATGGAATGCAATGGAATGGATTCGAATGGTATGTAATGGAAAGGAAATGACTGGAGTGCAATGGAGTGGATTCGAATGGAATGGAATGGAATGGAACGGAGTGGAATATAATGGACTCGAAAGGAATGGAATGCAATGGAATGGAATGGAATGGACACGAATGGAATTGAATGCAATGGAAAGTAATGGACTCGAATGGAATAGAATGGAATGGAATGGACCAGAATGGAGTGGAATGGAATGGAATGGACTCGAATGGAATGGAATGGAATGGAATGGAATGGAATGGTATGGAAAGGAATGTACTTGAATGAAACAGAATGGAATGGAATGGAATGGAATGGACTCGACGGGAATGGAATGAAATGGACTCGAATGGCATGGAATGGACATGAATGGAACAGAATGGAATGGAATGTACTCGAATGGAATACACTGGGATTTAATGGAATGGACTCTAACGGAATGGAATGGAATGGACTTGAATGGAAGAGAATGGAATACACTCGAATGGAATGGAATGCAATGGAATGGAATCAAATTGAATGAAATGGAATGGACTTGAATGGAATGGAATGGAATTGAATGGATTCAAAAGGAGTGGGATGGAATACAATGGAATGGACTCGAATGGAATGGAATGGAATGTACTGTAATGGAATGGAATGCAATACAATGGAGTCGAATTGAATGGAATGGAATTGTTTAAAATGGAATTGAATGGAATGGATCCGAAAGGAATGGAATGGAATGGAATGGAATGGAATGGAATGGAATGGAATGGACTCGAATGGTATGCAATGGAATGGAATGGGCTCAAATGGAACGGAATGAAATGGAAAAGTATGGAAAGGAATAGAATGGAATGGAATGGAATGGAATGGATTTGAATGGAAAGGACTCGAATGGAATGGAATGGAATGGAATGGACTGAAATGGAATAGCATGAAATGGAATGGACTCGAATGCAATGGAATGGAATGGCCTCGAATGGAATGGAATGGACTCAAACGGAATGGAGGTGAAAGGACTCGTATTGAATGCAATGGCATTTAATATACTCGAATGGAATGGAATGTAACATAATGGTATGAACTCGAATGGAATGGAATGTAACGGAATGGTATGAACTCGAATGGAATGGAATGGAATGGAGAGAAATGTGCTCGAATTGATTGGAATGGAATGGAGTGGACAAGAATGGAATGGAATGGAATGGAATGGAATGGAATGGAATGGACACAAACGGAATGCAGTTGAATTGAATGGATCCGAAAGGAATGGAATTGATGGAATGGAATGCAATAGACTCGAATGGAATGGAATGGAATGGACTCGAATGGAATGCAATGGACTCAAATGGAATGGAATGGAATGGAATGGAAAGGATGCGAATGGAATGGTATGGAATGCACACAAATGGAATGGAATATTACGGAAAGGAATGGAATGGAATGGAACCAAATGGAGTGGAATGGAATGGAATAGACTCGAATGGAATGGAATGGACCCGAATGGAATGGAATGGAATGGAATGGAATGGAGTAGCATGGAATGGAATGGAATCGAATGCAATGAATTGGAATATACTCGAATTGAAAGGAATGGACTCAAACAGAATGCAGTGGAATGGACTCTAATGGAATGGAATGGAATTGAGTGGACTCGAATGGAATGGAATGGAATGTAACGGAATGGAATGAACTCGAATGGAATGGAATGGAATGGAATGAAATGGACTCGAATGGAATGGAATGGAAAGGACTCGAAAGGAATGGAATGGAATGGACTTGAAAGGAATGGAAAGGAATGGAATGGAATGGAATGGAATGCAATGGAATGGAATGGAATGGAATAGACACGAATGGAATGTAGTTGAATTGAATGGACCCGAAATGAATGGATTGGAATGGAATGGAATGGAATGGAGTGGAATGGAATGAAAGGGACTCGAATGGAATGGAATGGAAAGGAATGGACTCGAATGAAACGGAATGTACCCAAATGTAATGTAATGGAATGGAATCGAATTGATTGGAATGGTATGGAAAGGAATGGAATGGACTCGAATGGAATGGAATTTAGTGGAGTGGACTCAAAGGGTGTGCAATGGAATGGAATAGATTCCAATGGAATGGAATGGAATGGAATGGAATGGAATGGAATGGAATGGATTGGACTCGAATGGAATGGAATGGAATGGAATGGAATGGAATGGAATGGAATGGACTCGAATGGTTTGGATTGGAGTGGTATGCAATGAAATGAAACATAGAGTAATGGAATGGAATGGATTGGAATGGAATGGAATGGAAAGGAATGGAACAGAATGGAATGGAATGGATTGGAATTGAATGGAATAGAATGGAGTGGATTCGAATGGAATGGAATGAACTAGAATGGAAAGGAATAGAATGGAATGTACTCGAATGGAATAGAATGGAATTGACTTGAATGGAATTGAATGCAATGAACTCCAACGGAATAGAATGGACTTGAACGGAAGTAAATGGGATGGAAACTACTCGAGTGGAATGGAATGGAATGGAATGGAATGGAATGGAATGCACAAGAATGGAATGGAATGGAATTGACTCAAATGGAATAGAGAGGAATGGATTCGATTAGAACGGAATGGAATGGAATGGACTCGAACGCATAGGAAGGGAATGGACTCAAATTGAAGGAAAAGGAATTTAATGGACTCAAATCGAATGGAATGTAATGTTATGGAATGGACTCGAATGGAGTGGACAGGAATGGAGTCGAATGGAATGTAATGTTATGGAATGGACTCGAATGGAGTGGACAGGAATGGAGTCAAATGGAATGGAATGCACTCGAATGGAATGGAAGGGAATGGACCCGAATGGAATCGAGTGGAATGGAATGGAATGGAATGGAATGGAACGGAATGGAATGGAATAGAATGGAATGCAATGCAATGCAATGCAATGCAATGGAATGGTATGGATTGGAATGGATTCAATGAAATAGAATGGGATGGAATGGAAAGAATTCAAAAGGAATGGAATGGAATGTAGTCCAATGGAATGGAAAGACCACAAATTGAATGGAATGGAATAGAATGGACTCAAATGGAATTGATGGGAATTTAATGGAATGGACTCTAAAGGAATGGAATGGAATGCTCTCAAATGGAAAAAATGGAATGGAATGGAATGGACTCTAAAGGAATGGAATGGAATGCTCTCAAATGGAAAAGAATGGAATGGAATGGAATGGACTCGAATGGAATACAATGGAATGGACTCGAATGGAAAAGAATGGAATGGAGTCAAATTGAATGGAGTGGAATGGAATGGACTAGAATGGAATTGAGTGGAATGGACTCGAATAGAATGGAATGGAAGGGAAAGGACAGGAAAGGAATGAAATGTAGTGGAATGGAATGGAATAGAATGGAATGGAATGGAATGGAATGGAATGGAATGGAATAGAATGGAATGGAATGGAATAGAATGGAATGGAATGGATTGAAATCGAATGGAATGGAATGGAAAGGACACGAATGGAATGCAATGGAGTGGACGCAAGTTGAATGTAATGAAATGGAATAGACTCGAAAGGAAACGAATGGAATGGAATGGCATGGACTCGAATTGAATGGAATGGAATTGAAAGGAATCGAAGGGAATGGAATGGAATGGACTCGAATGGAATGGTTTGTAATGGCATCAAATGGAATGGAATGGACTCTAATGAAATGGAATGGACCCAAAAGGAATGGAATGGAATGGAATGGAACGGAATGGAATGGAATGGAATGGAATGGAATGGAATGGAATGGAACAGAATGGAACGGAATGGAATGGAATGGAATGGAATGGAACGGAACGGAACGGAATGGAATGGAATGGAATGCAGTGGAATGGAATGGTATGTATTGGAATGGACTTCAATGGAACAGAATTGGATGGAATGGAAAGAATTCAAAAGGAATGAAATGGAATGGAGTCCAATGGAATGGAAAGGCCACGAATGGAATGGAATGGAATGGAAAGGACACGAATGGAATAGATTGGAATTTAATGGAATGGACTCTAAAGGAGTGGAATTGAATGCTCACAAATAGAAAAGAATAGAAGGGAATGGAATGGACTCAAATGGAATGCAATGGAATGGACTCGAATGGAAAAGTATGAAAGGGAGTCAAATTGAATGGAGTGAAATGGAATGGACTAGAATGGAATTGAGTGGAATGGACTCCAGTAGAATGGAATGGAAGGGAAAGGACAGAAATGGAATGAAATGGAACGGAATGGAATGGAATAGCATGGAATGGAATGGAATGGAATGGAATGGAATGGAATGGAATGGAATGGAATACAATAGAATGGAATGGAATGGATTGAAATAGAATGGAAAGGAATGGAATGGACTCGAGGGAATGCAATGGAATGGACCCAAGTGGAATGTAATGAAATGAAATAGACTCGAAAGGAAAGCAATGGAATGGAATGGACTCGAATGGAATGGAATGGAATGGAATGGAAATGAATGGACTCGAATGGAATGGAATGGAATGGACTCGAATGGAATGGTTTGTAATGGCATCGAATCGAATGGAATGAACTCTAATCAAATGGAATGGACACAAAAGGAATGGAATGGAATAGAAAGGAATGGAATGGAATAAAATGGAATGGAATGGAGAGGAATGGAATGGAATGGAATGGAATGGAATGGAATGGAATGGAATGGAATGGAATTGATTGGAATGGAATGGAATGGAATGGAATGGAATGGAATTGATTGGAATGGAATGGAATGGAATGGAATGGACTCAAATTGAATGGAATGCACTCGAATGGAATGAAATGAAATGGAATGGGCTCGAATGGATTAGAACAGAATTTACTGGATTGGAATACAATGGAATGGACTCTAATGGAATGGAATGGAATGGAATGCAATAGAATCAAATAAAATGGAATGGGATGGACTCGAATGGAATGGAATGGACATGAATGGAATAGAATGGAATGGAATGGAATGGACTTGAATCGAATAGTATGGAATTGAATGGAATGGACTCGAATGAAATGGAAGGGAATGGACTTGAATGGAATGGAGTGGACTCGAGTGGAATAGAATGGAATCAATGGACTCGAGTGGAATGGAATGGACTCGAATGGAATGCAATGGAATGGAATGGAATAGACTTGAATGAAATGGAATGAGTGGAATTGCATCGAACGGAATGGAATAGATTGCACTCGAATGGAATGGAATGGATACGAAAGGAATGGAATGGAATGGACACAAAAGGATTGGAATGGAATAGACTCGAAAGGGATGGAATACAATGGAATGGAATCGAAAGAAATGGAATGGAATTGACTCGAATGGAATCGAATGGAATAGAATAGACCCGAATGGAATGGAATGGACTCGAATCAAATGGAATGGAATGTACTCGAATGGAGTGGAAAGGACTCGAATGGAAAGGAATGGAATGGTATGGACTCGAAAGCAATGGAGTGGAATGGAGTTGAATGGAATGGAAAAAAAATTCATGGACTCAAATCGAATGGAATGTAATGGTATGGAATGGAATGGCATGGAATGGAATGGAATGGAATGAAATGGACTCCAATGGAATGGAATGGAATGGAATGAACCCTCATGGAATGGAATGGAGTGGAATAGAATGGAATGGAGTGGAATAGAATGGAATGGAATGGAATGGAACGGAATGGAATGGAATGGAATGGAATGGAATGGAATGGAATGGAATGGAATTGGATGGACTCATATGGAATGGAATGGAATGGACACGAATGGAATGGAATGGACACGAATGGAGTGGAATGGAATGGAAACGACTCGAGTGGAATGGAATGGAATGGAATGGAATCAAATGGAATGGAATTGACTCCATTGGAATGGAATGGAATGGAACCGAATGGAATGGAATGGAATGGAACAGAATGGACGCGAATGGAATGGAAGGGAATGGAACTGAATGGACCAGAATGGAGTGCAATGGAATGGAATGCACTCGAATGGAATGAAAAGGAATGTACCCGAGTGGAAAGGAGTGGAATGGAATGCAATGGAATGGAATGGAATGGAATGGGATGGTATGGATTGGAAAGGACTTGAATGGAATAGAATGGGAAGGAATGGAATGATTTCAAAAGGAATGGAAAGAAATGAACTCCAAAGGAATGGAAAGGCAACGAATTGAATGGAATGGAGTGGACCGGACGCAAATGGAATATATTGGAATTTAATGGAATGGACTATAATGGAATGGAATGGACTCTAATGGAATAGAATGGAATGGAGTCGCATGGAATGGATTGGAATGGAATAGAATTGTGTGGAATGGAATGGACTCGAATGGAATGGAGTGGAATGGACTCAAATGCAATGGAATAGAATGGACTTGACTGGAATGGAATGGAATGATTTGGACTCGAATTTAATGGACTGGAATGGGATGGAATGGAAAGGAATGGAATGGAATGGACTCGAATGGAATGGAATGGAATGGACTCGAAAGGAATGGAAACGACAGGAACAAAATGTAATGGAATTTACTCGAATCGAATGGAAAGTAATGGAATGGAATGGAATGGAATAGACTTGAATGGAAATGAATGGAGTGGAATGGACTCAAATGGAATGGAATGGAATAGAAGGGATTCGAACGGAAGGGAATGGAATGTACTCAAATGAAATGGGTTGGAATGGAATGGCCATGAATGGAATGGAATGGAATAGAATCAAATGGTATCGAATTGAATGGAATGGACTGGAATGGAATGAAATGGAATGGATGCCAATGGAATGTAATGGACTCGAATGGAATGGAACAGAACAGAATGGACTCAAATGAAATAGAACGGAATAGAATGTAATGTACTAGAATGGAATGGAGTGGAATGGAATGGACTCGAATGGAATAGAATGGAGTGACATGGAATGGTCTCGAATGAAATGGACATGAATGCAATGGAATGGACTTGAATGGAATGGAAAGGAATTCACCCAAATGGAATGGAATGGAATGGAAAGGAATGGAATGGAATGGAATGGATTGGAATGGAATGAAATGGAGTGGAATGGACTTGAATGGAATAGTATGGAATGGAATGGAAAGGACACAAAGGGAATGGAATGGACTCGAATGAAATAGAATGGAATGGAATGGAAAGGAATGTTGTGGAATGGAATGGACTCCAGTGGTATGGAATGGAAGGGACTCGAATGGAATGGAATGGAATGGACTCGAATAGAATTGAAAGGAATGGACCAGATTGGAATGTACTGGAATGGAATAGAATGGAATGTACTGGAATGTAATGGAATGGAATGTACTGGAATGGAATGGAATTGAATGGAATGGAATGGAATGGAATGGGAGAGAATGGAATGGAATGGAATGGACTCGAAGGGAATGGAATGGAATGGACTCAAATGGAATGGAAAGGACTCGAATGGAATGGAATGGAATTTAATTGAACGGACACTAATGGAATGGAATCTAATGGAATGGAATGGACTCTAACTGAATAGAATGGAATGGACTCTAATAGAATGGAATGCAATGGAATAGACTCGAAAGGAGTGGAATGTCATGGATTCAAATGGAATGGAAAGGAATTGAATTGTCTCGAAAGGAGTGGAATGGAATGCAATGCAATGGACTCGAATGGAATATAATGGAACTGACTGGAAGGGAATAGAATGGAATGCACCCGAATGGAATGTAATGGAAACGAATGGACTTGAATTATATGGCATGGAATGGAATAGAATCGAATGGAATGGAATGCATTTGAATGATCTCAAAAGGAATGGTATGGAATGCAATGGAAAGGGCTTGAATGGAATGGAATGGAACTGACCCGAAGAGAATAGAATAGAATGGACCTGAATGGAATGGAATGGAATTGAATGGATTAGAGGGGAATGAAATGGAGTGGAATGCACTCGAATTGATTGGAATGGAGTGAAATGGAAAGGACTTGAATGGAAAGGAATTGAATGGACTGGAATGGAAAGGAATGGAATGGAATGGACTCGAATGGAATGCAAAGGAATAGACTCGAATGGAATAAAAATGAATGGACTCGAATAAAATGGAATGGAAGGGAATGGAATGGACTCGAATGGAATGGAATGGAATGGACTCGAATGGAATGGAATGGAATGGACTCGAATGGAATGGAATGGACACAAAGGGAATGGAATGGAATGGAATGGACTTCAATCGAACAGAATGTAATGTTATGGAATGGACTAGAATGGAACGGAATGAAATGGAGTCGAATGGATTTGCATGGAATGGAATGGAATTGAATGGAATGGAATGGAATGGAATTTAATGGAATAGAATGGAATGGAATGGACTCGAATGGAATGGAATGGAATGGAATGGACTCGAGAGGAATGGAATTGAATGGAATGGAATGGACACGAATGGAATGGAATGGCATGGACTTGAATGGAATGGAATGGACTCAAAAGGAATGTAATGGAATGGAAACAACTAGAGTGGACAGGAAAGGAATTGAATGGAATGGAATGGACATGAATGGAATGGAGTGGCATGGACTTGAACGGAATGGAATGGACTCGAAAGGAATGGAATGGAATGGAAACAACTAGAGTGGACTGGAATGGAATGGAATGGACTGGAATGGAATGGAATGGAATGGAATAGAATGGAATGGACTTGAATGGAATGGAATGGAATGGACTAGAATGAAATGGAATGGAATGGATTGGAATGGAATGGACTCGAATTGAATGGAATGGAAGCAACCCGAATGGAATGGAATGGAACGGAATGGAATGGAATGGAATGGAATGGAATGATGTGGAATGGAATGGATTTGAATGGAATAGAATGGAATGGAATGGAATGGACTCGAAAGGAATTGAAAGGAATGGACTCGAATGGAATGGAATGGACACAAACAGGAATGGAATGTAACGGAAAGGACTCGAATGGAATACAATGGAATTCAATGGAATTGACTCTAATGGAATGGAATGGAATGGACTCGAATGGAATAGAGTGGAATGCACTGGAATGGAATGGAATGGAATGGAATGGACTCAAAAAGCATGTAATGGAATACAATGGAATGGAATCAAATGGAACAGAATGGAAGGCATTCGAATGGAATGGAATGCAATGGAATGGACTCAAATGGAATGGAATGGAAAGGACTCGAATGCAATGGACTGCAATGGAATGGACTCGAATGCAATGGAATGGAATTGACTCAAACGAAATTGAATGGAATAGACCCAAATGGAATGGAATGAATGGAATGGACTCAAATGGAATGGAATGGAATAGAGTGGCATGTGCACGAATGGAATGGAATTGGATGGAATGAATTCGAATGGAATCGAATGGAATGGACTCGAATGAAATGGGTGGAAATGGAATGGATTCGAATGGAATGAATTGCAATGGACTCAAATGGAAGGGAATGGAATGGATTGGAATGGAATACAATGGAATGGAATAGAATGGAACGGAATGGACTCAAATGGAATGGTATGGTATCGAATGGAATGGAATGGAATGGACTCGGATGGAATGGAATGGATTCGAAAGGAATGGAATGGAATTGAAACGAAGTGTCTGGAATGGAATGGAATGGTATCGAATGGAATGGAATGGAATGGACTCGGATGGAATGGAATGGATTCGAAAGGAATGGAATGGAATTGAAACGAAGTGTCTGGAATGGAATGGAATGGAATGGAATGGAATGGAATGGACAGGAATGGAATGGAATGGAATGAAATGAACTCGAATGGAATGGAATGCAATGGACCTTAAAGGAATGGAATGGAATGGAATGGAAAGGAGTCAAATGGAATTGAATATAATGGACTGGAGTGGAATGGAATGGAATGGAATGGACTCGAATGGAATGGAATGGAATGGACTCGACTGGAATGGAATGGACTGGAATGGAATGGAATGATGTGGAATGGAATGGACTTGAATGGAATAGAATGGAATGGAATGGAATGGAATGGACTCGAAAGGAATGGAATGGATTCGAATGGAATGGAATGAAGATGAATGGAATGGAATGGAATGGATTCGAATGGAATGGAATGGAGACGAATTGAATAGAATGGAATGGAATGGACTTGAATGGAATACAATGTAATTTAATGGAATGTGATGGACTCTAATGGAATGTAATGGAATGGACTCGAATGGAATAGAATGGAATGGATGCCAATGGAATGGTATGCAATGGAATGGACTAGAATGGAATGGAATGGAATTGAACCGTCTCAAAAGGAATGGAATGGAATGCAATGGAAAGGACTCGAATGGAATGGAATGGAATTGATTTGAATGGAATTGAAAGGAATGGAACCGAAAGGAATGGATTGGAATGGAATGGACTCGAATGGAATGGAATGGATCTGAATGAACTCTAATGGAATGGAATGTAATAGAGTGGAATGGAATGGACTCAAATGGAACAGAATGGAAAGAACTTAAATCAAATAGAACGGAATGGAATGGACTCGAATGGAACGGAATGGACACGAATGGAATGGAATTCAATGGAATGGAATCGAATGGAATAGAATAGAATGGAATGGAATGTACTCGAAAAGAATGGAATGTAATGGAATCGAATGGAATAGAATGGAATGGATTCGAATGGAATGGAGTGCTATGGAATGGACCCGAATTGAATGGAATGGAATGGAATGGAATCGAATGGAATGGAATGGAATGGAATGGAATCGAATTGAATGGAATGGAATGGAATGGAATCGAATGGAATGGAATGGAATGGAATGGAATCGAATGGAATGGAATGGAATGGAATCGAATGGAATGGAATGGAATGGAATCCAATGGAATGGAATGGAATGGAATGGTCTCGAATAGAATGGAATGGAATGAACCTGAATGAAATGGAAAGGAATGGAATGGAATGGTCTCGAATAGAATGGAATGGAATGAACCTGAATGAAATGGAAAGGAATGGAAAGGAATGGACTCGAATGGAATGGAATGAATTGGAATGAACCAGAATGGAATGGAATAGAATGGAAAGAAATGGAGGCGAATGGAATGCAGTGGAATGGAATGGACCCGAATGGAGCGGAATGGAATTTAATGAAGTCCAATGGAATGGAATGGAACTGACACGAATGGAATGGGATCGATTGGAATGGAAACGAATGGAATGGAATGGAAAGGAATGAAATGGAATGGTAAGCTATGGAAAGGAAAGCACATGAATGGAATAGGATGGAATGGAATGGAAACGAATTGAATGGATTGGAAAGGACACGAATGCAATGGAATGCAATGGAATGGAATGGAATGGAAAGGATTGGAATGGTATGGAATGCAATGGAATGGAATGGACTTGAATGGAATAGAATGGAATGGAATGGAATGGACTCGAAAGGAATACAATAGAATTTAATGTAATGGACTCTAATGGAATGGAATGGAATGGACTCCAATGTAATAGAATGGAATAGACGCGGATGGAATGGAATGCAATGGAATGGAATCGAATGGAAAGGAATGGAATGGAATCCAATGGAATTGAATGGACTCGAAAGGAATGGAATGGAATGGACTCGAATGGAATGGAATGGAATGGACTCGAATTGAATGGAATGGAATGGAATGGACTCGAATGGAATGGAATGGAATTGACTCTAATGCAATTGAATGGAGTGAACCCGAGTGGAATGGATTGGAATGGAATGGACTCGAATTGAATGGAATGGAATGGTTTGGGCTCAAATGGAATGGAATGGAATGGAATGGAATGGATTCAAATGGAATGGAATGGAATGGACTCAAATGGAATACATTGGAATGGAATGGACTCGAATGCAATGGAATGGAATGGACTCGAATGGAATGGAATGGACTCGAACGGAATGGAGTGGAATGGACTCGAATGGAATGGAACGGAATTGAATTGACTCGAATGGAATGGAATGTAACAGAATGGAATGAACTCGAACGAAATGGAATGTAATGGAATGAAATGGACTCGATGGAATGGAATGGAATGGAATGGACTTGAACGGAATGGAAGGGATTGGAACGGAATGGAATGGAATGGAATGGTATGCAATCAAATGGAATGCATTTGAATTGAATGGACCCGAAAAGAATGGAAAGGAATGGAATGGAATGGAATGGAATGGAATGGAATGGAATGGAATCGAACGGAACTTAGTGGAATGAAGTGGACTTGAATGAAATGGAATGGAATGGACTCGAACGAACTGGAATGGACTCAAATGGAATGGAATAGATTGGAGTGGAATGGAATGGAATAGATTCGAATGAAAGGGAATGCAGTGGAATGAACTCGAATGGCATGCAATGTAATGGAATAGACTCGAATCGAATGGATTGGAGTGGACTTGAATGGAATGGAATGGAATGGAGCCAAAAGGAATAGAACGGAATGGAATGAAATGAAATGTAATGGAATGGAGAGGAATGGAATGGAATGGAATGGAATGGACTCAAATGGAATGGAATGGAATGCAATGGACTCAAGTGGAAATGAATGGAATTGAATGGAAGGGACTCAAATGAAATGGAATGGAATGGACTCGAATGTAATGGAATGGACTCGAATAGATTGGAATGGAATGGAATGATCTCGAATGGAATGGAATGGAATGGACTCAAGTGGAATGGAATGGAATGGACACGAATGGAGTTGAATTGAATGGAATGGACTCGAATGTTATGGAATGGAATGGACATGAATGGAATGGAATGGAATGGACTGTTATAGAATGGAATGGAAAGGAATTCACCAGAATGGAATGGACTCGAATAGAATGGAAAGGTCTCGAGTGGAAAGGAATGGAACGGAATGCACTCGAATGGAATGGAGAGGAGTGGATTCGAATGGAATGGAATGGAATGGAATGGATTTGAGTCGGAGGGAATGTAATGGTATGGAATGGACTCGAGTGGAATGGACTCGAATGGAATGGAATAGACTCGAATGGAATGGAATGGACTCGAATGGAATGGAATGCAATGGAATGGACTCGAATGGAATGGAATGGAATTGACTCGAGTGGGATTGAATGGATTGGACCTGAATGGAATGGATTGGAATGGAATGGACTCGAATTGAATGGAATGGAATGGATTGTGCTAAAATGGAATGGAATGGAATGGAATGGAATGGAATGGAATGGAATGGAATGGGTTCGAATTGAATGGAATGGAATGGACTCAAATGGAATAGCATGGAATGGAATGGACTCGAATGCAATGGAAAGGAATGCACTCGAATGGAATGGAATGGACTCAAAAGCAATGGAGTGGAATGGAATCGATTGGAATGGAATAGAATTGAATGGACTCGAATGGAATGGAATGTAACGGAATGGAATGAACTCGAATGGAATGGAATGTAGTGGAATGAAATGGACTCGAATGGAATGGAATGGAATGGACTCGAATGGAATCATCATCGAATGGAATCGAATGGAATCATCGAATGGAACAGAATGGAATCATCATCGAATGGAATCGAATGGAATTATTGAATGAAATCGAATTGAATCATCATCGAATGGAATTGAATGGAATCATCATCGAATGGAATTGAATGAAACCATCAACGAATGTAATCAAATGGAATCATCGAACAGAATCTAATGGAATCATCATCGAATGGGACAGAATGGAATCATCATCAAATGGAACCTAATGGAGTCACCACCGAATTGAATCGAATGGAGTCATCATCAAATGGAAACAAATGAATCGTCATCGAATGGAATCATCATCGAATGGAACTGAATGGAACGATCGACTGGAATAGAATAGAATGAACATCGAATGGAATCAATGGGAATAATCAAATGGAATCGAATGGTATCATCGAACAGAATTGAAAGGAATCATCAATTGGACTCGAATGGAATCATCACCAAATTGAATTGAAAGGAATCTTCGAATGAACTCTAATGGAATAATCATCGAATGGAATGGAATGGAATCATTGAATGGACTCTAATGGAAACATCATTGAATGAAATCGAATGGAATCATCAAACGGAAACGAATGGAATAATCATCATATGGAATCGAATGGAATTATCAAATGGAATCGAATGGAATCATCATTGAATGGAATAGAGTGGGATCACAGAATGGTATCGAATGGAATCATCATCAAATGGAATCAAATGGAATCTTCGAATGGACTCGAATGGAATCATCATTGAATGGAGTCGAATGGAATGATCATCGAATAGAATCGATTGGAATCACCGAATGGAATCGAATGGAATCATCATCAAAAGGAATCGAAGTGAATCATCAAATGGAATCGAAAGGAATCATCGAATGGAATCAAATGGAATCATCATCGAATGGAATCGAATAGAATAATCATCAATTAATGGAATTGAATGGAATCATCGAATGGAAACTAATGGAATCATCATCGAATGGAATCGAATGGAATCGTCATCAAATGTAATTGAATGGAATCATCAAATGGAATCGAATGGAATCATCATCAAATGGAATCGAAGTGAATCATCAAATGGAATCGAATGGAATCATCAAATGGAAACGAATGGAATCATCATCAAATTTACTCTAATGGAATCATCATCAAATGGAATCGTATGGAGTCATCGAATGGACTCGAATGAAATCATCAAATGGGCTTGAAAGGAATCATCAATGGAATCGAATAGAATCATCAAAAGTAATCGAATCTAATTATCATTGAATGGAATCGAATGGAATCATCATCGAATGGAAACGAATTGAATAATAGAATGGAATCGAATGAAATCATCGAATGGACTCGAATGGAATCATCATCGAACGGAATTAAATGGAATCATAGAATGGAATTGGAAGGAGTCATCATCAAATGCAATCGAATGGAGTCACCATTGAATGGAAACGAATGGAATCATCATCGAATGGAATCGAATGGACTCATCGAATGAACTCAAATGGAATAATCATCGAATGGACATGAATGGAATCATTGAATGGCATCGAATGGAATGATCATCGAATGGAATCGAATGGAATCATCATCGAGTAGAATCGAATGGAATCATTGAGTGGACTCGAATGGAATCATCATCAAATGGAATTGAATGGAATCATGGAATGGACTCGAATGGTATCATCATCTAATGGAAACTAACGGAATCTTTGAATGGACTCGAATGGAATGATTGAATGCAAGCGAATGGAATCATTAAACGGACTTGAGTGGAATCATCATCTAATGGAATTGAATGGAATCATCATCAAAATGAATCGAAGGGAATAATCATGGAATGGAATTGAATGGAATAATCATTGAAAGGAATCATCTAATGGAATTGAATGGAATCATCATTGAATGGAGTCATCATCGAATGGAATCGAATGGAAGCATCAACAAATGTAATCAAAAGGAGTCATCATCAAATGGAATGGAAAGGATTCATCAAGGAATGGCATTGAATGGAACAATCATCGAACGGAAATGAATGGAATTATGGAGTGCACTCAAATGGAATCATCATCGAATGGAATCAAATGGTATCATTGAATGGACTCAAAAGGAATCATCATTGAATGGAATCGAATGGAATCATTGAATGGACTTTAATGGAATCATCATCGAATGGAATCGAAAGGAATCATCAAATGGACTCGATTGGAATCATCATCGAATGGAATGGAATGGAATCATCGAATGGAATCATCAACAAATGGAATTGAATGGAATCATCGAATGGAATAGAATGGAATAATCATCAAATGGAATCGAATGGAATCATTGAATGGGCTCAAATGGAATCATCATCAAATGGAATTGAATGGAATCATCGAATGGCAGTGAATGTAACCATCATCTAATGCAATGGAATGGAATCATCGAATGGAATCATCGAATGGACTCGAATGGAAATATCATCGAATTGAATCGAATGGAATACTCATGGAATTGAATAGAATGGACTCATCATCAAATAGAATCGAATGCAATCATCAAATGGAATCAAATGGAAACATCAAATGAACTCAAATGGAATCATAGAATGGAATCGAATGGAATCATTGCATGGAATCATCATCGAATGGATTCGAATGGAATCATCGAATAGACTCGAATGCAATTGTCATCGAATGGAACTGAACAGAATCATTGAATGGACTCGAATGGAATCACCATCAAATGGAATCGAATGGAATCATCATTGAATGAAATCGAATGGAATCATCATTGAATGAAATCGAATGGAATCATTGAATGGCATCGGATGGAATCACCATTGAATGGAATCAAATGGAATCATCGAATGGCCTCGGATGGAATCATCATTGATTGGAATCACATGAAATCATCGAATGGAATCGAATGGAATGATCATCAAATGGAATCGAAGGGAATCATCGAATGGAATAGAATGGAATCATCGAATGGAATCTAATAGAATCATCGAATGGATCCGAATGGAATCATAATCTAATGGAATCGAATGGAATCTTTGAAAGGACTCGAAAGGAATAATCATTGAATGGAATCGAATGGAATCATCGATGGACTCGAATAAAAACATCATCGAATGAAATCGAATGGAAAAATCGAAAGGAATCAAATGAAATCATCATCGAATGGAATCATCTCATGAACTGGAATGGAATCTTCATTGAAAGGAATCGAATTGTGTCATAGAATGGACACGAATGGAATCCTCATGGAATAGAATCAAATGGAATCATCGAATGGACTCGAATGGAATACTCATCACATGGAATCGAATGCAATCATCGAATGGAATGCAATGCAATCATCATCGAATGGAAATTAATGGAATAATCGAATGGAATTGAATAGAGTCACCATCAAATGGATTCGAAAAGAATCATCATCCAAAGGAATCGAATGGAATCAACAAATGGAATCGAATGGAATCATCATCTAATGGAATCAAATGGAATTATCGAATGGAATCGAATGGAATCATCATCGAATTGAATAGAATGGAATCATCATCGAATGGAATTGAAAGGAATCATCATCTAAAGGAATCGAAGTGAATCATTGAATGGAATAGAAAGAAATCATCGAATGGAATCCAATGGAATCATCATCAAATGGACTTGAATGGAAACTTCATCGAATGGAATCATCAAATGGACTCGAATGGAATCATCAAATGGAATCATATAGAATCATCAAACGGAATCGAATGAACCATCATTGAATGGAATGGAATGGAAACGTCAAATGGACTCGAATGAAATCATCATCAAATGGAATCAAATGGAATCAGTGAATGGAATTGAATGCAATCATAATCGAATGGAATCATCGAATGGAATCGTATGGAATCATCATCGAATGGAATCAAATGGAATCATCAAATGGCATCGAATGAAATCATCATCGAATCGAATCGAATGGAGTCATCTAATGGATGCGAATGGAATCATCATCGAATGAAAATGAATGGAATAATCAAATGGACACGAATGGAATTTTCATTGAATGGAATTGAATGGAATCATCATCAAACGGAATTGATTTGAATCCTCATCGGATGGAATCGAATGGAATCATCAAATGGAATAGAAAGGAATCATCATCGAATGGAATTGAATAGAAACATTGAATGAAAACAAATGGAGTCATCATCGAATGGAATCAGAATCGAATGGAATATAATGGAATCATCAACAAATGGAATCAAATGGAATCATCATCGAATGGAATCGAATGGAATCATCAACAAATGGAATCCAATGGAATCATCATCAAACGGAATGGAATGGAATGATCAAATGGGCTCGAATGGAATCATTGAATGGACTCGAATGGAATCATCATCGAAAGGAATCTAATGGAAACATTGAATGGACTTGAATGGAATCATCATTGGATGGAATTGAATGGAATCATCAAATGGACTCAAATGGAATCATCGAATGGACTCTAATGGAATCATCGAATGGACTCGATTGGAATCAGCATTGAATGGAATCGAATGGAATCATCAAATGGACTTGAATGAAATCATCATCGAATGAAATGGAATGGAATCATCATCGAATGGAATCGAGTGGAATCATCATCGAATGGAATCAAATGGGATCATCATCGAATGGAATCAAATGGGATCATCATCGAATGGAGTTGAATGGAATTATCAAAGAATGGAATCCAGTGGTATCATCATCAAATGGAACCGAATGGAATCATCAAATGGACTCAAATGGAATCATTGAATAGATTCGAATGGAATCATCATCGAATGAAATCGAATGGAAAAATTGAATGGACTCGAATGGAACCATCATTGAATGGAAACCAAAGGAATCATCATCTAATGAAATGAAATGGAATCATAGAATGGACACAAATGGAATCATCATCGAATGGTATTGAATGGAATCATCGAAAAGAATCGACGGAATCATGATCAAATGGACTCGAATGGAATCATCATGGAATGGAATCAAATGGAATCATCAATGAATGGAATCCAATGGTATCATCATCAAATGGAACCGAAAGGAATCATCAAGTGGACTCAAATGGAATCATCGAATGGAATCGAATGGAATCATCATCGAATGGAATCGAATGGAAACATCGAATGGAATCGAATGGAAACATCATTGAATGGAATCATCATCAAACGGAATCTATTTGAATCCTCATTGGATAGAATCGAATGGAATCATCAAATGGAATAGAAAGGAATCATCATCGAATGCAATCGAATAGAATCATCAAATGAAAAGGAACGGAATCATCATCGAATGGAATCGAATGGAATCATCAACGAATGGAATCGAATGGAATCATCGTCTAATGGAATCAAATGGAATCATCAACGAATGGAATAGCATGGAATCATCGAATGGAATCTCATGGCATCATCATCACATGGAACCGAATGGAATCATCATGGAGTGTAATCTAATGGAATCATCATTGAATGGAATCCAATGGGATCACTGAATTGAATGGAATGATCATCGAATGGAATCAAAGGGAATCATCAAATGGGATAGAAGGGAATCATAGAATGGAATCGAATGGAATCATCGAATGGATTCAAATGGAATCACCATCAAATGGAAAAGAATGGAATCATCAAAAGGACTCGAATGGAATCATCAAGGAATAGAATCAAATGGAATAATTGAATAGACACGAATGGAATCATCATTTAATGGAATCAAATGGAATCATCGAATGGACTCAAATGGAATCATCATTGAATGGAATCGAATGGAATCATCGAATGACATTGAATAGAATAATCAATGAATGGAATCTTAAGGAATAATCGAATGGACTCGAATGGAATAATCGAATGGACTCGAGTGGAATCATCATCGAATGGAATCGAATGGAATCATCAAATGGACTCAAATGGAATCATCATTGAATGGAATGGAATGAAATCATCGAATGGACTCGAGTGGAATCATCATCGAATGGAATGGAATGGAATCATCGAATGGACTCAAATGGAATCATCATCGAATGGAATGGAATGGAATCATCGAATGGACTCGAATGGAATCATCATCAAATGGAATCTAATGGAATCATCGAAGGTACTGGAATGGAATCATAATCAAATGGAATCGAATGGAATCATTGAATGACATCGAATGGAATCCTCATTGAATGGAATGGAATGGAGTCATCAAATGGAATCCAATGGAATCATCATCGAATGGAATCAAATGGAATCATCAAATGGAATCGAATGGAACCATCGGATGGAATCGAATGGAATCATCATCGAATGGAATCGAATTGAATCATCGAATGGAATCGAATGCAATCATCTCAAACAGAATCAAATAGAACCATCCAATGAAATCAAATGGAATCATCATCGAATAGAATCAAATGGAACCATAGAATGGTATCGAATGGAATCATCATCAAATGGAATCAAAAGCAAAAATCGAATGGATTCGAAAAGAATCATCAAATGGACATGAATGGAATCATCATCCAATGGAATGAAATGGAATTAACGAATGGAATCGAATGGAATCATCATCAAATGGAATCAAATGGAATCATCTAATGGACAGTAATGGAATCCTCATTGAATGGAATCGAATGGAATAATCAAATGGAGACGAATGGAATCCCCATCGAATGGAAGTGAATGGAATCATCAAATGGACCCAAATGCAATCATCATCGAATGGAATTGAACAGAATCTTTGTTGAATAGACTCGAATGGAATCATCAAATGGACTCAAATTGAATCATTGAATGGAATTGAATGGTATCATCACAGAATGAATTGAATGGAATCATCGAATGGTCTCGAAAGGAATAATTATCAAATGCAATCGAATGTAATCACCGAATAGAATCGAATGGAATAATCATCGAATGGACTCGAATGGAATCATCATCAAATGGAATCGAATGGAATTATTGAATGGAATCGAATAGAATCATCGAATGGACTCTAATGGAATCATCGAATGGAATGTAATGGAATAATCAATGAACTCGAATGGAATCATCATTGAATGGAAACGAATGGAATCATTGAATGGAATTGAATGGAAACATCATCGAATGCAATCGAATGGAATCATCACCGACTTGAATAGAAAAGAATCATCAGCAAATGGAATCGAATGGAATCATCATGGAATGGAATCCAAAGGAATCATCATTGAATGCAACCAAATGGAATCGTCATCGAATGGACCGAAAGGAGTCATCATCGAATGGAATCGCATGGAATCATCATCAAATGGAATTGAATGGAACCATCATCAAATGGAATCTAATGGAATCATTGAATGGAATTGAACGGAATCATTATCAAATGAATTCAATGTAATCATTGAATGGTCTCGAATGGAATCATCATCAAATGGAATCACAAGGAATAATCGAATAGAATCGAATGGAATAATCATCGAATGTACTAGAATGGAATCTTCATTGAATGGAATCGAATGGAATCATTGAATGGACTCGAATGGAATCATCATCAAATGGAATCAAATGGAAACATCGAATGGACTCGAATGTAATCATCATCAAATGGAAACAAATGGAATCATTGAATGGACTCGAATGGAATCATTGAATGGACTCGAATGGAATCATGGAATGGACTCAAATGGAATCATCATCGAATGGTATCAAATGGAAAAATTGAATTTACTCGAATGGAATCATCAAATGGAATCGAATGGAATCATCATCAGATGGAAACGAATGGAATCATCATCGAATGGAATCAAATGGAATCATCGAATGGAATCAGATGGAATCATCATCGAATGGAATCAAATAGAATCATCATCGAAAGGAATCAAAGGTAATCATGGAATGGAATCGAAGGTAATCATGGAATGGAATCAAATGGAATTATCATCGAATGGGATGGAATGGAATCATCATCAAAAGGAATCGAAGAGAATCATGGAATGGAATCGATTGGAATCATCGAATGGAATCGAATGGAATCATCATCAAATGGACTCGACTGGAATTATCATCGAATGGATTCGAATGGAATCATTGAATGGACTCGAATGGAATAATCGAATGGAGAAGAATGGAATCATCGAATGGAATCAAATGGAATCATCAAATGGACTCGAATGGAAACATCATCGAATGGAATCAAATGGAATCATTGAATGGCATCGAATAGAATCATCAAGGAATGGAATCTAAGGGAATAATCGAACGGACTCAAATGGAATCATTGAATGGACTCGATTGGAATCATCATCGAATGGAATCAGCGAATGGACTCGAATGGAATCATCAAATGGAATCCAATGGAATCATCGAAAGGACTCAAATGGAATCATCATCGAATGGAATTAAATGGAGAAATCGAATGGAGTCCGTTGGAATCATCATCAAATAGAACCGAATGCAGTCATCATCAACTGGAATCGAATGGAATCATCATGATTGGAATCAAATGGAATCATCATGAATGGAATCGAATGGAATCATCATAGAAAGGAATCGAAGGGAATCATGGAATGGAATCGAATGGAATCATCGAATGGAATTGAATGGAATTATCATCGAATGGACTCGAATGGAATTATCATCGAATGGACTCAAATGGAATTATCATCAAATGGAATCAAATGGAATCATCGAATGGACTCGAATGGAATAATCGAATGGAGAAGAATGCAATCAACAAATGGAATCGAATGGAATCATCGAATGGACTCGAATGGAAACATCATCGAATGGAATCAAATGGAATCATTGAATGGCATCAAATAGAATCATCAAGGAATGGAATCTAAGGGAATAATCGAATGGACTTGAATGGAATCATTGAATGGGCTCGATTGGAATCCTCATCGAATGGAATCATCGAATAGACTCGAATGGAATCATCATCGAATGGAATCGATTGAAATCATCGAATGGACTCAAATGGAATCATCATCAAATGGAATCTAATAGAATCATCGAATGGACTCGAATGGAATCATCATTGAATGGAATCGAATGGAATCATCGAATGTCATTGAATGGAATCATCATCGAATGGAATGGAATGGAATCATCGAATGGACTCGAATGGAACAATCATCGAATGGAATTGAATGGAATCATGGAATGGACTTGATTGAAATCATCATCAGATGAAATCGAATGGAATCATCATCGAATGTAATCGAATGGAATCATCCTCAAATGGAATCGAATAGAATCATCATTGAATGGACTCGAATGAAATCATCGAATAGACTCGAATGGAATCATCGAATAGACTAGAATGCAATCGTCATCAATGGGATCGAATGTAGTTATCATCAAATGGAATCGAAAGGAATCATCTTCAAAAGGAAGTGAATGGAATCATCATCGAATGGAATCGAATGGAATCATTGAATGGAATTGAATGGAATCATCATCAAAAGGAATAGAACTGAATCATCGAATGGATTCGAATGGAATCACCGAATGGAATTGAATGGAATCAGCACCGAATGGACTCGAATGGAATCATCATCGAATGTAATAGAATGGAATCATCGAATGCACTCGAATGGAATCATCGAATGCACTCGAAGGGAATCATCTTTTGGAATCGAATGGTATCAGTGAATGGACTCGAATGGAAAATCATCGAATTGAATCAAATGGAATCATCATTGAAATGAGTAGACTGGACTCATCATCGAAGGGAATCGAATGAAATCATCGAATGGAATTCAATGGAATCATCAAATGGACACGGATGGAATCATCATCGAATGGAATCTAATGGAATCCTGGAATGGACACGAATGGAATAATCATCGAATGGAATTGAAAGGAGTCATCGAATGGACTCGAATGGAATCATCGTCAAATGGAATCAAATGGAATCATCGAATGGCATCAGATGGAATCATCATTGAATGGAATCGAATGGAATCATCAAATGGACTCGAATGGAATAATCAAATGGAATCGAAAGGAATAAACATCGAATGGAATCGAATGGAAACATCGATTGGATTCGAATGGAATCATCATGAATGGAATCAAAAGGAATCATCATCGAATGAAATCGAATGGAATCAATGACAGGATATGAATGGAATCATTGTCGAATGGAATCGAATGGAATCATCGAATGGACTCGAATGGAATCATCATCAAATGGAATAGAAAGGAATCATCAAAAGGAATTGAATGGAATCATCATCGAAAGAAATTGAATGGAATCATTAAATGGAATCGAGTACAATCATTGTTGAATGGACTCGAATGGAATCATCGAATGGACTCGAATGGAATCATCATCAAATGGATTCGAATGGAATCATTGAATGGAATCGAATGGAATCATCAAATAGACTCGAATGGAATTATCATTGCATGGAATCAAATGGAATCATTGAATGGAATCAAATGCAATCATAATCGAATGTAATCATATGGAATCATCAAATTGAATCAAATAGAGTCATCATCGAATGAAATCACATGGAATCATTGAAAGCATTCAAAAGGAATCATCATCGAATGGAATTGAATGGAAACAACGAATGGAATAGAATGGAAGCATCATCAAATGGAATCATCGAATGGACTCGGTTGGAATCATCGTTGAATTGAATCGAATGGAATCATCATCAAATGGAAACAAATGGAATCATCATTGAATGGAATCAAATGCAATCATCATCAAAAGGAATCGAATGGAATTATCATCGAATGGAATCAAATGGAATCATCTTTGAATAGAATCAAATGGAATCATCGAATGGAAACGAATGGAATCATAAACGAAGGGAATCCAATGGAATCATCATCAAATGGAACTGAATGGAATCATTGAATGGAATCGAATCAAATCATTGAATGGACTCAAATGGAATCATCATTGAATGGATTTGAATGGAAACATCGAATGGACTCTAATGGAATCATCATTGAATGGAATCAAAAGGAATCATCATCGAATGAAATCAAATGGAATCAATGAATGGACTCAAATGGAATCATCATCGAATGGAATCAAATGGAATCATGGAATTTACTCGAATGGAATCATCATCGAATTGAAATGAATGGAATCATCAAAATGAATCGAATGGAATCTTAATCAAATGAAACCGAATGGAATCATCGAGTGGCATCAAATGGAATCATCATCCACTGGAATCAAATAGAATCATCTAACAGACTCGAATCAAATCATCATCGAATTGAATCGAATGGAATTATCGAATGGAAACGAATGGAATCATCATGGAATGGAATCAAATGGAAACATCAGCGAATGGAATCGAATGGAATCATCAAAAGGAATAGAATGGAATCATTTTCGAATGGAATCGAATAGAATCATCGAATGAAATCGAATGGAATCATCATCAAAAGGAATCCAATGGAATCATCATCAAATGGAATCGAATGGGATCATCATCAAATGGAACCGAATACAATGATCATCAAGTGGAATAGAATAGAATCATGAATAAAGGGAATCAAATGGAATCATCGAATGGAATCTAATGGAATCATCATCAAATGGAACTGAATGGAATCATCATCAAATGGAACCTAAAGGGGTAATTTTCGAATGGATTCTAGTGGAATGATCATCGAAAGGCATTGAATGGAATTATGGAATGGAATCAAATGGAATCATCATCAAATGGAATCGAATGGAAACATCGAATGGACACGAATGGAATCCTCTTTGAATGGACTCGAATGGAATCATCCTCGAATGGAAACGAATAGAATCATCATTGAATGGACTCTAATGAAATCATCAAATAGACTCGAATAGAATCATTGAATGTACTAGAATGCAATCGTCATCACTGGGATCGTATGTAATTATCATCAAATGGAATCAAAAGGAATCACCTTCAAAAGGAATCGAAAGGAATCATCATCAAATGGAATCGAATGGAATCATTGAATGGAATCATCATCAAAAGGAATTGAAGTGAATCATCGAGAGGTATTGAATGGAATCATCTAATGGAATCAAATGGAATCATCATCGAATGGACTCGAATGGAATCATCATCGAATGGAATAGAATAGGAACATCGAATGCACTCGATTGGAATCATCAAATGGACTCGAAGGGAATCATCGATTGGAATCGAATGGAATCAGCAAATGGACTCGAATGGAATCATCAAATGGAATCGAATAGAATCATCTAATGGAATCGAATGGAATCATCATCAAATGGAATCAAATTAAATCATAGAATGGACACGAATGGAATCATCACTGAATGAAGTAGAATGGAATCATCATCGAATGGAATCAAAAGCAATCATCAAATGGATTCGAATAGAATCATCAAAGGGACACAAATGGAATCATCATCAAATGGAATCAGATGGAATCAACTAATGGAATCAACTGGTATCATCATCGAAATGAATCAAATGGAATCATCTAATGGACTGGAATTGAATCCTAATCAAATGGAATCGAATGGAATCATCAAATGGACAAGAATGGAATCCTTATGGAATGGAATCAAATGGAATTATCAAATGGACTCAAACGGAATCATCATCGAATAGAATCAAATTGAATCATCGTTGAATGGGCTCGAATGGAATCATCAAATGGACTGGAATGGAATCATCAAAAGGACTTGAATGCAATCATAATCAATAGAATCGAACGGAATCAGCATCGAACGGAATCAAATGGAATCATCATCAAATGGAATCAAATGGAATCATCGAATGAAATCGGATGTAATCATCATCGAATGGAATCGAATGGAATCATCATCAAATGGAATCCAATGGAATCACCATCAAATAGAACCAAACTGAATCATTGAATGGACTCGAAAGGAATCATCGAATGGACTCGAATGGAATCATCTTCAAATGGAATCGAATGGAAACATCGAATGGACTCGAATGGAATCATTGAACAGAGTTGAACGGAATCATCATCAAATGGAATCAAATGGAATCATTGAATAGTGTCAAATGGAATCATCATCGAATGGAGTCAAATGGAATCATCGAATGGAATCAAATGGAATCTTCATAGAATCGAACCGAATGGAATCATCTTCAAATGGAATCGGATGGAATCATTGAATGGACTCGAATAGAATCATCATCGAATGGAATCTAATGGAATCGTCATCGAATGGAATCGAATGGAATCATGGAATGGAATAGAATGGAATCATCATCGAATGGAATCGAATGGAATCATGGAATGGAATAGAATGGAATCATCATCGAACAGAATCGAATGGAATCATCATTGAATGGAATTGAATGGAAACATCATCGAAAGGAATTCAATGTAATCACCATAGAATGGAATCAAATGGATTCATCAACGAATGCAATCGAATGGAATCATCAACAGGAATCATCATCGAATGAAATTGAAAAAATCATCGAATGGAATTGAATGCAATCATCATCTAATGGAATTGAATGAAATCATCATTGAATGGAATTGAATGGAATCATCGAAAGGAATCGAATGGAATAAACATCAAATGCAATTGAATGAAATCTTCAAATGAAATCGAATGGAATCATTGAATGGAATTGAATGAAATCATCATCGAATGGAATTGAATGAAATCATCATCACATGGAATCAAATGGAATGATCGAATGGAATCGCACGGATTCATCATTGAATAGAAGTGAATGGAATCATCAAATGGAATCGAATGGAATCATCGAATGGAACCGAATGAAATCATCACTGAATTGAATCAAACGGAATCATCGAATGGAATCAAATGCTATCATCATCGAATGGAATCGAATGGAATCATCATCGAATGGAATTGAATGCTATAATCATTGAATGGAATCAAATGGAATCATCATCGAATGGATGTGAATGGAGTCATCCATTGGAATCGAATGGAATCATCATCAAAGGGAATCAAATGGAATCATCAAATGCAATCGAATGGAAACATCATTGCATGGAATCGTATGGAATCATCATCACATGGAATCAAATGGAATCATCATCAAATAGTATCGAAAGGAATCATCGAATGCAATCGAATGGAATAAATTGAATGGAATCGAATGGCATCATCATCGAATGGAATCGAAAGGAATCATCGAATGGAATCATCATTGAATCATATCAAAAAGAATCCTCGAATGGAAAGAAATGTAATCATCATAGAATGTAATAGAATGGAATTATCATCAAATGGAATCGAACGGAATCATCGAAAGGAATCGAATGGAATAATTATCAAATGGAATTGAATGGAATCATCGAATGGAATTGAATGGAATCATCGAATGGAATCGAATGGAATCATCATCGAATGGAATCGAATGGAATCATGGAATGGAATTGAATGGAATCATCATCACATGGAATCAAATGGAATCATCGAATGGAATCGAATGAAATCATCATCCCATGGAATCAAATGGAATCATCATCACATGGAATCGAATGGAATCATTATCGAATGGTATCAAAAGGAAACATCGAATGGAATTGAATGGAATAAATCTAATGGAATCGAATGGAGTCATCATCAAATGGAATCAAATGGAATCATTGAATGGAATCATCATAGAATGAAATCGAAAAGAATCATCGAATGGAATCGAATGCAATCATCATCAAATGGAATTGAATGGAATCATCAAATGGAATTGAATGGAATCATCATCAAATGGAATCGAAAATAATCATCAAATGGAATTAATGTAATTGTCTTCGAATGCAATCGAATCATTGAATGTAATTGAGTAGAATCATCATCACATGCAATCGAATAGAATAATCAAATGGAATTGAATGGAATCATCATCACATGGAATCGAATGGATTCATCATTGAATGATATTGAAAGGAATCATCAAATGGAATTGAATGGAATAAATCAAATGGAACAGAATGGAATAATCATCAAATGTAATCCAATGGAATCCTCGACTGGAATCATCATCGAATGAAATTCAAAAAAATCATCAAATGGAATTGAATGGAATCATCATTGAATCCAATCATCATCGAATGGAATCAAATGGAATCATCAAAAGGAAGTGAATGGAATAAATATCAAATGCAATTGAATAAAATCCTCGAAAGGAATCGAATGACATCATTGAATGGAATCAAATGGAATCATCATCGAATGGAATCAAACGCAGTCATTGAATGGAATCAAATGGAATCATCTTCACATGGAATCAAATGGAATGATCGAATGGAATTGCATGGAATCATCATCGAATGGAAGCGAATGGAATCATCAAATGCAATCATCTAATGGAAGCGAATGGAATCATCGAATGCAATCATCTAATGGAATCGAATGAAATCATCACTGAATGGAATCAAACGGAATCATTGAATGGAATTGAATGCAATCATCATCGAATGGAATCGAATGGAATCATCATTGAATGGAATCGAATGGAATCATAGAATGGAATTGAATGGAATCATCATCAAATGATGTGAATGCAGTCATCCAATGGAATCGAATGGAATCATCATCAAATGGAATCAAATCGAATCATCAAATGCAATCTAATGGAATCATCATCGCATGGAATCCAATGGACTCATCATCACATGGAATCGAATGGAGTCATCATCAAATGGTATCGAAAGGAATCATCGAGTGGAATCCAATGGAATAAATCGAATGGAATCAAATGGAATCATCATCGAATGTAATCGAATGGAATCATCGAATGGAATCATCATTGAATGAAATCAAAAAGAATCATTGAATGGAAAGGAACGCAATCATCATCGAATGGAATAGAATGGAATCATCATCGAATGGAATCGAACAGAATCATTGAAAGGAATCGAATGGAATAATCATTGAATGGAATCAAATGGAATCATCAAATGGAATCGAGTGGAATCATTGAATGGAATTGAATGGAACCATCATCGAATGGAATCGAATGGAATCATGGAGTGGAATCGAATGGAATCATCATCACATGAAATCAAATGGAATCATCAAATGGAATCGAACGGAATAATCATTGAATTGAATCGAATAGAATCATAAAATGGAATCGAATGGAATCATAATCTAATGGAATAGACTGGAATCATCATCGAATGGAATCAAATGGAATCATCATCGAATGGAATCGAATGGAGTCATCTGATGGAATCATCATCGAATGGAATCGAATGCAATCATGGAATGGAATCAAATGGAATCATCTTCACATGGAATCGAATGGAATCTTCATCACATGGAATCAAATGGAATCATCTAATGGAATTGAATGGAATAATCTTCGAATGGAATAGAATGGAATAATCGAATAGAATTGAATGGAATCATAGAATGGAAACGATTGGAATCATAATCGAATGGAATCGACTGGAATCATCATCGAATGGAATCGAATGGAATCATCGAATGGAATCGAATGGAATCATCAAATGGAATCGAATGGAGTCATCTGATGGAATTGAATGGAATCATCATCGAATGGAATCGAATGCAATCATGAAATGGTATTGAATGGAATCATCTTCACATGGAATCGAATAGAATCATCATCACATGGAATCTAATGGAATCATCATCGAATGGTATCAAAATGAAACATCGAATGGTATCGAATGGAATAAATCGAATGGAATTGAATGGAATCATCATGGAATGGAATCAAATGGAATCATGGAATGGAATCATCATCGAATGAAATTGAAAAGAATCATCGAATGGAATCAAATGCAACCATAATCGAATGGAATCGAATGGAATCATCATCGAATGGAATTGAACAGAATCATTGATAGGAATCGATTGGAATAATCATTGAATGGAATCGAATGATATCCTAGAATGGAATCGAATGGAATCATCGAATGGAATTGAATGGAATCATCATCGAAAGTAATTGAAAGGAATCATGGAATGGAATCGAATGAAATCATAATTGCATATAATCAAATGGAATCATTGAATGAAATCAAATGGAATCATCATCGAATGGAATCGAATGGAATGATTGAATGGAATCGAATGAAATCATCGAATGGAATTGAATGGAATCATTATCGAATGGAATCATCATAGAGTGGAATTGAATGGAATCATCGAAAGGAGTCGAATGGAATAATCATTGAATGGAATTGAATGGAATCCTCGAATGGAATCGAAAGGAATCAACAAATGGAATCAAATGGAATCATCATCAAATATAATCGAATGGAATCATTGAATGGAATCAAACAGAATCGTCATCGAATGGAATCAAATGGAATCATCATCTAATGGAATCAAATGGAATCATTGGAAGGAATCAAATGGAATAATCATGTAATGGAATCGAATGGAATCCTCGAATGGTGTCAAATGGAGTCACCAAATGGAACCGAATGGAATCATCATCGAATGGAATCGAATGGAATAATGGAATGGAATCAAAGAGAATCATCATCGCATGGAATCCAATGGAATCATTGAATGGAATCAAATGGAATAATCATTGAATGGAATCGAATGGAATCATTGAATGGAATCCAATGGAATCATGGAATGGATTCAACAAATGGAATCGAATGAAATCATCATCGAATGGAATTGAATGGAACCATCATCAAACGGAATGAAATGGAATCATCATCGAATTCAATCGAATGGAATCATCAAATTCAGTTGAATGGAATCATCATCGAATGGAATCACTGAATGGAATCGAATGGAATCATCATCAAATGGAATCGAGTAGAATCATCATCGAATGGAATCAAAAGGAATCATCAAAAGGAATCGAATGGAATCATCATTGAATGGAACCAAATGGAATAATCATCAAATGGAATAGTATGGAATCATCGAATTGAATCGAATGGAATCATCAAATGGAATCGAATGGAATCATCATCGAATGGAATCATCATCGAATGGAATCGAATGGAATCATTGAATGGAATCGAATGCAATCATCATCAAAAGGAATTGAATGGAATCATCATCGAATGGAATTGAATGGATTCATTGAAAGAAATCGAATGGAATAATCATCAAAGGGAATTGAATGATATCATCGAATGTAATCATCATCAAATGAAATCGAAAAGAATCATCAAATGGAATCGAATGCAATCATCATCAAATGGAATCAAATGGAATCCTCATCGAATGGAATCAAACGGAATCATCGAAAGGAGTCGAATGAAATAATCATCAAATGGAATCCAATGAAATCCTAGAATGGTATCGAATGGAATCATTGAATGGAATCATATGGAATCATCGAATGGAATCAAATGGAAATAACGTCAAATGGAATCATTGAATGGAATCGAATGGAATAATCATCAAATGGAATCATTGAATGGAATCAAATGGCATCAGCCAATGGAATCGAATGGAATCATCATCGAGTCGAATCGAATGGAATCATCCAATGAAGTCTAATGCAATCATCATCGAATGGAATCGAATGGAATCATCGAATGGACTCGAATGGAATCATCATTGAATGGAATCGAATGGAATCATCGAATGGACTCGAACGCAATCATCATCAAATGGAATCGAATGGAATCATGGATCGGAGTTGAATGGAATCATCATCAAATTGAATCGAATGGAATCATCGAATGGACTCGAATGGAATCAACATCGAATGGAATCAAATGGAATCATTGAATGGAATCAAATGGAATCATCCTCGAATGGAATCGAATGGAATCATCTAATGGAATCAAATGGAAACATCATCGAATGGAATCGAATGGAATCATCGAATGGGCTCTAAGGGAATCATCATCAAATGGAATTGAATGGAATCATCATAGAATGGAATTGAATGGAATCGAATGGAATCATCATCGAATGGAATCGAATGGAATCATTTAATGGAATCATCATCGAATGGAATGGAATGGAATCGTCATCGAATGGACACGAATGGAATCATCATGGAATGGAGTGGAATGGAAACATCATCGAATGTACTGGAATGGAATCATCATCGAATGGACTCGAAAGGAATAATCACCAAATGTAATCAAATGGAATCATCATCGAAAGGAATCAAATGGAATCATCATCAAATGGAATGTAATGGAGTCATCATTGAATGGAATTGAATTGAATCATCATCGAATGGAAATGAAAAGGAACATCATCGAATGGAATCGAATAGAATCATCGAATGGACTCGAATGGAATCATCATCGAATGGAATTGAATGAAATCATCGAATGGACTCGAATGGAATCATCATCAAATGGAATCGAGTGGAATCATCGAATGGACTCGAGTGTCTATTCTGACAGGTCTGGGGATATCTAAATGACTCATGAAAGGCTTTTTTTCCTGTGTTGCTAGAATACAGAACAGATAAGGAATGGACATTTTTAAGAAACTGCAAGGAAACCTAACAAGCCACAGATGCTTAGGGCAAAAATTAGAGTTTACACTTATAGTAGATCACCTTCAGCACAGCAAGAAAAGTTGGAGAAGAGTATTTCAAAAACTAAAACATACAAAATCATTCACGTACATGGGAGAGTATAGAAAGTCACATGTATTCATAGGTTAAGCCACATGCTGACAAATGTCATAAGAAGACCCTACACTTTTACCTTGGTCGATCCCTCCCCTCTGTGCAAGCTCTGTGCAAGAGTGAACTTGAACTTCACTCAGTGCAAGAGTGAACACACACTTTGTGCCAGCTTTAAAGAACCCATCACAAAGCCAGTCTGCATGGCCTAGAGACATATTTTGCTGGACAATGATTACTTGTTTTTCTTTTTGTTTTTCTTGTATTTGCCTGTTTGATTGGTTCCTGACATACAAGAAAATCACTGTCAAAACTTTAGCTTAACATTTGTTATGGAAACAAAAAGACTTCAGTGACACCTTATAAAGCAAACAGTTTTGTAAATCACTTTGGAAAATTTCACTTAAAAAAAATCCTTAACAATATAATAAGTAAAGAAAATTTAAAACCACAAAACATTACTGTGTTTGTAGGGGTGTCTGATTTACAGAGTAACCACATAGTAATTATAATTATTATAATGTACAGTTTTCAAAAAAAGTTTCAAGGCATACAAAGAATGGGAAAGTATGGCTCATTCAAAGGAACAAAACAAATTGACAGAGAATATCTCTAAGGGAACTCAGACATCAAACTTACTAGACAAAGACTTTAAAACAACTCTCTTAATTATACTCAAATGTCAAAAGGAAAACATAAACAAAGAAATAAAGGAATCAGAAAAAATATTAAAAATTAGGAATATCAACAGAGATAGCACAAATTCTGGAGTGGAAAACTACAATGATAAAAATTTAAAAATCACCAGAGGGATTTAAGAGTATATTTGCACATACAGAAGAAGTCATGAGCTTGAAGATAAGAAAATGGAAAATATTGACTCTGAGAAACAGATAAAAAATGAGCAGAGACTAAGGAATTTGTGAGACATCATCAAATAGACCAACATTCATATTCTAGAAGGATAAATTATGTTGTTGAAAACTTTAGCATTCTTTCTTTTCACCTTTCTTTCTTCTTCCCTCCCCCTCCTCCTCCTTTTTACTTTTCTTCCTCTTCCTTGCTCTTCTTCTGTCTCTCCTTCATTATCCCTTTCACTCTGTTTCTCTTTCTCCCTTTCTCTTTTTTCTTTTCTTTCAATTTTCTCAATTACTAAGAGATGTTTAAATACCCTTACCATGTGAGTTGATATGGTTATTTCTCCTTTAATTCTCTTTTGAGATTTATAGTCACTCTAAGTAAAGAGATAACCCAAACATAAGCCTCACAAACAGGCTTCCATACCATTCTTAATTTGGTCCTGTAATTCTTCATTGCTGTATTAACTTTCTGATGCTTTTAAGGATGTTTTATAACAAATTGTTTAGTTTTTTCCACTGGAATGTTTATTCTGAATTATCTAATTCATATTGTAAGTATAGAGGGAGTTTAATATAAAATTATTAAACTGATATTTGTGAAAGAATGTATTTGTGCATTTAACAAATATGTTAAACCTCAGACTGTTATTGGGCAGCTGAGCATACAGCAATAAAAATAACATAATTTTTATGTGTACAATATTTATGGAATACGTTACTGGAACAAATAAATAATTTAGTTAATAACATGACAAAGAACAGAAATTGTATAGACTATAGAGCATAGTAATGGAATAATGAATGATTAAAGTTATTAATATTAGGTAGAAAATGAAGGGTATCTTTGAGAGCAGAACTCAAGGAAGCAAGCAATTTGCCTTATGTGGAAAGAGTTACCTGTGGATAAAGGAGAAACTGAAAAATTTACAAGTCAAGACTTTTTGAGCAAAAACAAAAATATGACTATTAGTCACCAATTCAGTACAGTGAAAAAAAAGTAGAAGAGATATCTTGGAAGTAAACCATGTTGTGGAAGAGCATGTAGGGTTTTGATAATCATGGGATTATTCTGAATTAATTTTAAATGCGATAGGAATATATGAGATAATTTCACCAGAGAATAACATGATTGTGTTTGCATTTCAAAGGGGTGTATCTGGTGCACTGTGTAGAATAAATAGGTTATGTGAGCAAATAAATTGGGAGGCTACTGTAATCCAGAGAAAACAGGTAGTGACTTAGGTGAGAATACTGTGAGGATGAGTGGTAGTAGTGGTGAGAAGTCGTTAGGCCATGGATGTATTTCATAGGACTATCCAAGAGAACTGCAGCTGAATTGGAGTGTAGGGAGTGAAATGGAGAACTCAAAGATGACTCTCAGCACTGGAAGGTGACAGCTGTCACTGAAGCATGCTGATGCCTCTCATTAAGAGAGTTACTTGGGAATGGCAAGATCAAAACTTCTCACTTTCAAATTTATGAAAAATATTGTTTTCAGAACGAATGACTTTGGGATCAGAAAGCCACCATTCTAATTGATGGTTCCACGACTACACGGGCTCACACTCCCAAGAGCAAAAGTAAATCATCACAAAGGTGCTTCCTGATAATTCTAGAGAATGGAGAATTACTGTAACATCTTTCTGATCTTAGGAGAGGTAGCAGTTCCCTTTTTAGCCTAAATGCTATATTTTTTAAAGCTCAGCCAAGAGACTCCATTATAATTTTCAAATGTGTGTAACTTAAATTCTCATATGAAATACCACTATGCTTAAATTAGTCAAAACATTTTCCCCATCTACAACTCTATCTTGTCATCGCAATCATTTTCACAAAAGTGACTGCAGCTCACAGACCCTAAAAGGAGAAAAACCAGGGTAGGTTATCTGATCTAGTTAGTTTCGAAGACAGGATCTAGAGATTATTTAATATGAAATAGGTCACCTGAAATGTTTACTGAAAACAGCTTGGATCAGCCCAGTTTTCTACCACTGAACCATGCATTTGGTTTAAAAAACACAATTCTGGGGAATATCGGCTGCTTCCAACTGTGTTGAAGGTGTTAAAGAAAAGAGCATAAAATTAAAAATGATCATCTGAGGCCTTTATAGTCTCTGCTCAAGAGACTAGAGTCTTCCATTCTTAACGAAACACCCAAATATCTTAATAATTGGGCAAAATCTAAATATCAGAGATAATTTTATCTTGAAGATTGTTAAATTATAATGGTGATTCACTACCTTGCCACGTCTCTGAGTCAAAAATTAGGTCTTTGTTTAAGAATCAATGGTGCTCTGCAACTTGGAAATAGGAAGATTTTAGAAGACTCAAACACTGACTTTCTTGTGTGCAAAAAAAGACGTATTGAGATAAGACAAGTCTTTCCTTGCAAGGATACCTCTAATGCTCATACACCACCTCCCCTAACGTTAATATAGCTTCCAGGTCACTAACCAGTGTCAGAGAGCAGCCCATGCAACTACAAATTCAAAAGATGTCGAACACAGGGTCAAGCCTAGAATAAGAAGTCTTAGCTAATTAAGTATGCTTTTTTCCCCAAATTCATATTAACAAAACTTGGATATGTCAGAGAATGCATTCTAAGTTCACTCAACCTAGGAGGGAGAAACATAATTTTAAATTAAGAGCTGAATTATTCTTGTCCTATCAGAAAGCAAGGAAAACGAAATATCACACCACAGGAGGGATTTCACAAATTAGTGTCAACATCAAAACCTTAAAACAGTCAAGGAGAATGCAGATTCACAATGAACTCTTGTACTTGTTTTGTTCAGAGAAGAGATGGTTCTGAGAGAATGACAGTGAACTAACCCCAGCTGGTTTAGTTGGTGCTTTCAAATGCTGCTTCTGATAAACTCCTTTAGCTAGAATAAATTGATGAGGATTTTGGCATGCGGTATTAGAGATGGTTATTAATTTTGTCCTCTTATTTGCATTGTTCAATATAGTAAATACTAGCTGTATACGGCTACTTCAATTCAAATTAATTACAATGAAATATACTTAAATATTGAATTTTTTAGTCACTGTTGGTTCATTATTGAATACGTTCAGCTAAGATTTCCCATCTAAATACACTAAAAGGTGGCTTAGTTAAATGGTCGTCCACAAATATTGAAGCTGTTGTTAACTCCTGATATATTCTCTGCGAAGAGAATATTCACGAGCCTCCTCCTGAAATCAGCAGCCTAGAGATAGTTTTATAAATTGGATACAAGTTGGAAATCTATACTCTTTAAGTTTTTGAAATATTAGCTTCCCAGGGAAGAAAATCAAATTCATAAGATATGTTAGAACAATTTAACTCAAGACGTTCAAAACTGAAATGACATATTCTACAATATGTGATAAAACCACCCCCTAACAACTTAAAGCAAAACAGGGATTGACCTTAAAGACCTGCCTTTTCCTCATCCACCAGCCTATCAGTTTTCAAATCTTGCATTTTATTTTGAAAGGTCATTATCCCCCTAGTCTCTTGTTTCTAGACTTGGCACATATTTAAGTTTATTACCTCTATCTACTGACTTTTCTCTTTTCAAACAGTATCTATGCCTGCCAAATGTGAACATACAAAAAACAAATCAGAATGTGCCATTCTGATTTAAACTGCTTATTAGTTAATACCCTCAAGATAACATCTGGGTTCTTAGCTGCAATGAGTCAAGCCTACTTACATCTTTTTTTGTGTTTGGCTGCACATTTCCTATCACATCACACTCCAGCAATGCCAAGCTGTGCCGGCCTTCTACCCCATCTCCACTATTTTGCCCTCCGCCGCCGCGGCTTTTTGCCTGCCCCGGCTTTTTGCTCCGCCGCCGCCGCGGCTTTTTGCCCCCCACCCCCGCCGCCGCGGCTTTTTACCCGCCGCGGCTTTTTGCCCCCCCGCCGCCGTGGTTTTTTCCCCCCATCTCACCTCCGCTTTTTGCCCGCCGCGGCTTTTTGCCCCCACCCCGCCTCGGCTTTTTGCCAGCCACGGCTTTTTGCCCCCCGCCACCGCGGCTTTTTGTCCCCCGCCGCCGCGACTTTTTGCCTGCCGCGGCTTTTTACCCCCTGCCGCCGTGGCTTTTTGCCCCCACCCCGCCTCGGCTTTTTGCCCCCACCCCGCCTCGGCTTTTTGCCCGCCTCGGCTTTTGGCCCCCCGCCGCCGCTGCTTTTTGTCCCCCGCCGACGCGACTTTTTGCTGGCCGCGGCTTTTTACCCCCCGCCGCGGCTTTTTGCCCCCCACCACGCCGCGGCTTTTTACAACCCCCCCACCCCCCGCTCCCGCGGCTTTTTGCGTCCCCGCCACCTCCGCTTTTTGCCCCTCCGCCGCCGCGGCTTTTTGTCGCCGCGGATTTTTGCACACCCGCCGCCGTGGCTTTTTGCGCCCCCGCCGCTGCGGCTTTTTGGCCGCCCCAGGTTTTTGCCACCCCGCCGCTGCGGCTTTTTCCCCGCGGTGGCTTTTTACCCCCTGCCCCCGCGGCTTTTTACCCGCCTCGGCTGTTTGCCCCCACCCCGCCTCGGCTTTTTGCCCGACACGGCTTTTTGCACCCCCCCCTCCTTTGCAACCTTAATTTCACTTGAAATCTAATTTCCCACTGCCAAGCCACCTAACATATTTGTATGTTAGACTCTGGGAATTAGGACATGAACATTTTTCGGGGGCCATTATTTTGTCTACAGCAGACAGAATCTACACTGCCTGGGAGGCGCAGAGTGTCCTGGGGGAGGCAGGGCCGGCCCTTCCCTCCATGGACACCCAGCTTTCCCACAGGCCCTACATGTCTGTGGGTTCCCTGCATGACCAGGTGATCTACCCGGACTCAGTGGAGGACATGCGAAGGAACGGCTACTCGGAGCAGGACCTGGAAGCCATCCTGGACATCGTGCACCCGCACCACACCCTGCAGCGGGAGGGAGGTAGGAGGCCTGGGGCTGGCAGCCGCCCTTTGTCCCACCCTGGCCTCTCCCTTGGCCTCCAGGGAGTGAAGATTATCTCAACATCCAGGAGTCTAAAGTGCCAGGTGCCACAGGGGCAGGGCAGAGGGTGCTACCTCTGAGGCCCGCCTACCAGGGAGGACCAACACCACACAGATGGCCCCAGGTGGCATGGGTGCTCTAGGGAAGGGGGCACCTAGCAGGGATGTGCACCTCATTGGGGGACCCAGGATACCCTCTCCCAGAGAAAAGGGGTCTGAGCTGAGCCCTGCAGAATGCTGAGTGGTTACCCCGTCCAGGAGCCAGGGGCAGCAGGGCAGAGTGCGGCCTGCAGGCTTGGAGGTGTGAGAGGCTGGCTCACAGAGGGCCCTCTGGACCAGGCGGGAGCCTAGGCTTTCCCTGAGCGGGATCAGACGCTCTTGGAAGGACCGTGGGGTGGTGGGCAGGGGCAGCCTGGGAGGAGCAGACACATGTGTGCAGTGATGGCTACTGTCAGGAGGTCTGTGCAGATGCTTGGAGGGGGCTGGGGCCAGCAGAGTCGGGTGGATTCAGAGATGAGTTCACTGAAAAGGAGGCCAGACTGAGCTGTTTTCTTGTCCTGGGCTTATCAAGGAATACTGCGTGTCCACAGTGTCTGTCGGGCCGGGAGAGCTGAGGAGGAGAGGGGGGTGCAGCTACAGGGACACAGTAGACGGAGCGTTCAGTTCTGTCTTTGAATTCTGAGCCTCTGGGTTCTGCTTCCAGCCCCCACTGCTGGGTGCGAGATGGCCCTGGGCAAGGACCTCGCCTTGCTGGGGCTCCCCTTCATGGTTCAAGGGCATGGGCACCCAAGCCCTCCCTCGGTGGCAACATGAGAAGAAGTGGCTCCTGCAGGAAATGACCAGGGTGTTGTCACCTGCCTGTGGAGGAAGCGGGAACGCAGGTGGCGATGGTGGTGGAGCAGCCGCTGGCCTGGCCCTGCCTCTTGCTCCTGCTGCCCTCGGCCTGGGAGCACATGGCCCCTCCCGCCTCTGTGGCAGCCTGAATGCCCAGGGCCTGTGGCTGGCCAGCTTGAGCCGTTAGGATGGAGTTGAGCTGCAAGGAACAGAACCGGCCTCCCCGCAGTAGTGGCTAAGATCATCTGTGAGTTTATCCTACTGAGCTGTTAGGTCCCAAGAGAGCCAGGCCACAGTTGCCAGGGCTGGCCCTGCTCTGTGAAGGCCCCAAGTCTCTAGGATTTTCTACCATGTCACTCTGCTGTGTGTGGCCTCCATTCCCAAAGTCACCTCATGATCCAGGAGGGCTGCTACAGCCCTCACATCACGTCCCAGGCTGTAGAATGGAGGAAGTAGAAGGGAAGGGGCAAAAGGTATGTGCCTTCTATCTTTTAAGGAAGTTTCCAGAAGCCACCATATTGAATACTTACAGTTATATCTCATTGGCCACAACTTAGTCTCATGCTCACACCTCACCACAAGACCACCTGGGAAGCATAATCTCTACTCTGGGTGGCCATATACCCTGTCGCCACTTCCAGCCCTGGGCCGCTGGGGAAGGCAGCATGGGCGAGAAGACAGGAGGGGCCACTTCTGCCGCAGCGCCCCGGCCCAATGGAGCAGCCGGCTCACCTGCTTGTTCAAGCAGCCCACTCGAGCCTTGCCAAAGTGCTGGCACGGGGCAGTGACAGGAGGCCCAACCCCTGTGGGTGACAAGCCCCCGGTCTGGGGAGATCACTCAGGCCGCTCTGGAGCTCTGTGCCAAGGAACTGTATGGGTGTCCTGGGGCTGCCATAAACCGCAGGGGTGGATCATCTCCTGGGTCCAGCAGTCCTAGATCCTGGTACCAGCAGGTTGGGTTCCTTCCGGGTGCCATGACAGAAGTATGTGTTCCAGGCCTCTGTCCTCGGCTCGCAGATGGTCCACTTCTCCCTGTATATCTTCACCTCGTGTTCCCCTGTGCACGTCCTCTACCCGCACACCCCCTTTTTATGAGGACACATTCATATTGAATTAGGGTCCGCTCTGATGACCTCATCTTAGTGTGATCACCTCTGCGAAGGCCCTGTCTCCAAATAAGGTCACACTGAAGTGTTGGGGCTTGGACTCCACCATGTCTCTTCTGGGGGAAGGCACGATTCCAGTCCCCACTCCTCCATGATTAATGCCTGTCAGACAAGGACGCAGAGGCACAGGGGCCCTGTCCTCACAGCTAGCTCATTCCCGCAGCTCCCCCAGCTCCCCGGCTGGCCCCCAGGTCTGGGTACTGGTGGAACTGAGCCAAGACCATTGCCCCTGCCTAGGTTGGGAGGCTATGTGTGACTGGAAGGACGTCCTGCCGGGTGGCAAGAAGCAGAGAATCGGCATGGCCTGCATGTTCTACCACAGGTGAGCACTCCAGGCTGGCAGGCTCCCTGGGGTCCCCTGGAAGGAGAAGTAGCAGCTGTGGGGAGGCCTGGGCTCAGTGGAGCCTGAGCCGGGTTGGGGTGTTGGGCCCTGGAGGGTGCACAGACTCTCCTCTCGGCCCGGACCCCCAGGCCCAAGTACACCCTCCTGGATGAATGCACCAGTGCCATGAGCATCGACGTGGAAGGCAAGATCTTCCAGGCGGCCAAGGACGCAGGCATTGCCCTGCTCTCCATCACCCACCGGCCCTCCCTGTGGTAGGTGCCCTGTCTCCCTTCCTGGGGTGAGTGGGAGTGGCTGCCTGAGGGGAGGAGGTGGCCTGTTGGGCCAGGCGGCAGCAGCAGGCGGCTGTCATCAGCAGCCCTCGTGCCGTGCCCCTGACCCTGTCCCTCTCCTGGCCAGGGAGTACCACACACACTTGCTACAGTTCGATGGGGAGGGCGGCTGGAAGTTCGAGAAGCTGGACTCAGCGGCCAGCCTGAGTCTGACAGAGGAGAAACAGCGGCTGGAGCAGCAGCTGGCAGGCATTCCCAAGATGCAGCGGCACCTCCAGGAGCTCTGCCAAATCCTGGGCGAGGCCGTGGCCCCAGCGCATGTGCCGGCACCTAGCCCGCAAGGCCCTGGTGGCCTCCAGGGTGCCTCCACCTGACGCCACCCTCCCCAGCCCCTGCCCCGCCCCCAAGCTCGAATCACATGAAGGAGACGGCAGTGCCCACCTGCGCACGCACCCCGCCCCTGCATGCCAGGCCCCTCGTCCTAGAAGACCCTTCCCGACCTCGGGAAAGTAGATGTGGAGGGTGGCGCCCTGCGTAACCCTCACCCTGTCCCTCCCACTCCCTGGGGGGTCTGTTCCACAGTGACTGGGCCCAGTCCAGGGCAGTGAGTCCTCTACTTTGCTCCGTGGAGGAAGCTGGGGTACAAGGGCCCAGTGCTGGCCACGCAGCAGCGCAGCCGAGCCCCAGGAGCCCCTCAGGCCACAGCCCCTGACACAGCAGGTGGCCTCCCTCCTCGTCAGTCTCTCAAAGACCCCACGGTCCATCTCCTGAGGGTGGCCAGCCAAGGCTCCCATCCCATGCGATGCCATAAAAGCCGCCCAGTGGTACCCATGGTCACACAGAGCGCCTCACCTGCATCCTCTCCCCCACAGAAGCCCCGAAGATCCCACGGGAGAGGGACGCACAGCACTGCCTGCAGAGTGAGAATGTAGGCCCCGCCCCCTCGGCCCCTCACCTCCTCTTTCTACAGCCTAATTTATTGGATTCCCTATTCGTAGCCATCTCCGTGGCCAATGTGACTACCCTGCCAGCAGCAGGGGCGGCCCAGCCTCTGAGTCCCCTGGGGCCCCGGCTCCCACTGGTGCCAAACCCAGCCCCTGTGGCCGTCACCCCGCCAGCCTACACTGTCAGCCGCCACCTGGCCACACGGACCTCTGCTTGCTAGCTGGGAGTGCGGACACCATGTTCCCAGCTCAGTGCCAAACAGGGGTCACCAGGGGGAGCTGTCTGCAGAGCCAGCGCCTGCCCGAGAGAGAGCGCCTACCCACCGCCACCGTGTGCCTTTCCCGGGCCCTCAGCCCTCAGGCCGGGTGCCATCCCGAGTCCCCCCAGTAAAAGCCTCCATTGGCAAATGCAGTCCTTCCTCCCTGCCTCAGAGTCTGGTGGTGTCTGCTGCGGGTCTTAGGGAGAGATGGAGGAGAGGGAGTGGGTTGCCTGTGGGGGAAAGAGTGAGTTTGGGAAAGGAGTGGGCCTGACCCCCAAGCCCCTCCGTGGGGGAAAGTCACCAGAAGACATGGTCCAACATGCCCTCCACCGAGCATCACGCCAATGCTCTTAGGATTCCTGTGATGGTGGCGGGGCAGAACCTGCAACAACATTGCACAGAAATAATGGCTGAGCCCAAATAGGACTAGGGGAGGGGATCATGCTGGTCCCTGTGGGAGAAGCACGAAGGCAAGAGAAGGGATGTCTAAGCTGCCACACAGGGTGCTGCTGGCCCTTCTAGGGAGAGGAGGCCACTTGTGCAGGGGCCTGGGGGGGGAACTGGGAGCACAGTGCAGGGTGTTCGTGCTGCATGCAGGGGAAGGGAGGGCAGGGGAAGGGAGGGCTGCGGCTGGTGGGCCTTGGAGGACACACTACAGAGACAGGACTTAGCCCAGAGTCCACCGAGGAGCTTTCGACAACAGGGAAGCAGTGTCGAGTACTGCAGGCCACGTGGCTGCATGTGAGGGTGGCTGGTGGGAATAGAGTGCAGCAGCCCATCTGGCCTCAGAGGCATGAGAACTGAGAACAGCTGTGCGGCCATACCTTTATGCATGGATGGCCATAGCCTCCCAAAGGTGGGACAGCCTGAGTGTTCATCAACAGACAAATGGACAAACAGCCTGTCCATAAGGCACAGTGCCATTCCACCATAACACGACAGATAGACCTCAAAGAGTTCATGCTGGGTGAAAGAAGCCAGACACAAATGTCCAGAATAGGCTCATCAGGACAGAAAGCAGATGAGTGGGTGTCAGGGGCTGGGGCAGGGGAAGGAAAATGGGGCAGGAGCAGTCCTTTTCAAAACATTTTCTATTTATTTTTTATTTTTTAATGAGACAGACTGGGTCTCACCCTGTCACCCAGGCTGGAGTGCAGTGGTGCATTCATAACTCACTGCAGCCTTGATCTCCCGGGCTCAAGCAATCCTGCCCCAGCCTCCTGAGTAGCTGGAACCACAGGCGTGTGCCACCATACCCTGCTAATTTTGTGATTTTTTTTTTTTTTTTTGTAGACAGGATCTCACTATGTTGCCCAGGCTGGTCTCAAACTGCTGAGCTCAAGCGATCGTCCTGCCTCAGCCTCCCACAGTGCTGGATTACAGGCATGAGCCACCACACCCAGCCTCGGGTTTCTTTTTATTTCGAAGAAAATGTTCTGGAACTATAGAGCATACTAAATGCCACTGAATTGTGCACTTTAAAGGGATTGATTGTATATTTTGTGAATATCACCTCGAAAACAGACAGATAGATGATTGATGGATAAATTGATACATAGATATATAGATATATAGACATGATGTAGATAATTGATAGATGATGGATGATTCATAGGTGCTAAGTGATAGATAAAATACATGATAGATACATGGATAGATAGATGAATAGAGAGAGATGATAGATGATTTAAAAATTTTTTTTAGAGATGAGATCTCACTATCTTGCCCAGTCTGGACTTGATCTGCTAGCATCAAGCAGTCCTCCTGCCTCAGCCTCCTGAGTTACTGGGACTACAGGCACATGCTACTGTGCCTGGTGATAGATAAATTATTGAAAGATAAACATGATAGAGGCATAAATGATAGATAGATGGATAGACATGATAAAGGGTAGATAGGAAGATACATGGGATAGATCAATGATTGATTATAGAAGTAAATTATATAGATTAACAGATTATTGATTATAGATTAATAGGTGGATAGCTGATTGATAGATGATTGATCGATTGATTGGTTGACTGATTGATGGAGAGAGACAGAGAAGCAAGCATAGCCATTGCAGCCACCCAGACAAGACATGCTGAGGCCTGGAGTTCCAGAAGGTTCGAGCAGTTGGAAGAACTTGACAGGCATGGGGGCAGCTTCTTCAGGGAGTGGAGGGGGCAGCAAGGTACCACTGAGTTCTGGTTGGAAGGTTAGGTGAGCGACAGCACCCTTGGTGGACAGAGGCAGCTCCAAAGGGGGGGAAGGCCTGGGGAGCAGGTGCAGCCCGAGGGGATGGTGCGTAGGCAGTTTGTTCAGAGCTTGGGGCTCCTCAGTGGGACATGGGTCAGCAGGGAGGCCAGTGGTCATTGAAGCTTGGATGGAGACAGCCTGGCTGAGGGGAGGGGCATGCTTGGCATCTCATTTAGGGGACAGGAGGTAGACTGTTTACCTGTATTTTGAGATTACGATTTATTCCTGATCCCAGGAGGTGGCCGATTCGGAGGGCTGGGAGTTGTTCCTCCATTTCTTTTGATGATTGTGTAAGTCACCCATGCTTGATCATAAACCCCTTTTGTTTATTTTTGACACATAGCTGGAATGGCTCTAATTACTACAGATAGAAGGAGACACATCTGGCAAAGACCATCCAAAAGGAAGCTAGTGGAGAGAAGCTCATATCGCACAAAGTAGGCTCCAGGGCAAAATCATTATTAGGATTAAAAGTGGTTGCAGCATACTGATGAGTATTCATTCCAAAGCATTAACTGGTGGGGGAGGGGTGGGGGAAAAAGGATAAATACATAAATAATTTAATTATTTTCAAAGAAGTATTAGCGGCCAGGCATGGTGGCTCACGCCTGTAATCCCAGCATTTTGGGAGGCCAAGGCAGGCAGATCACCTGAGGTCAGGAGTTCGAGACCAGCCTGAACAACATGGTGAAACCCCATCTCTACTGCAGTACAAAATTAGCCAGGCCTGGTGGCCCATGCCTGTAGTCCCAGCTACTAGAGAGGCTGAGGCAGAACTGCTTCAACCTGGGAGGCGAAGTTTGCAGTGAGCCAAGGTCAAGCCATTGCACTCCAGCCTGGGCGACAGGGAAAAAAAGAAAAAAAAAAAAAAAGAAGCATTAGCCATTCTGATCTTGTGTGCACCTGCATAATGATAGAGCCTCAAATGACTACAAAACAAAAAAGTGTCAAGAAAAGGAAAAATTAATAAATGAGCAAATTCTCCACGCAGGAAATTATACTACTTCTCACTGGAACTGCTGGTTTAAGCAGGCTCAATTAGGAAGAATATAGAAAAATTGGGCCAGGCATAGTGTTTCATGCTTGTAATCCCAACACTTTGGGAGGCGAAAGCAGGCAGATTACTTGAGGTCAGGAGTTTGAGACCAGCTTGGCCAACATGCTGAAAATAAAATAAAAAATACAAAAATGAGCCAGATGTGGTGGCTCATGCCTGTAATCCCAGCTACTCGGGTGGCTAAGGCAGGAGAATCACTTGAACTTGAGGTTTCAGTGAGCTGAGATCATGCCCCTGCACTCCAGCCTGGGCAACAGAGTGAGACTCTGTCAAAAAATAAAAATAAAAAAAAGAATATGGAAAAGTTGAACAAACTTGATTTAGTGGGCACCCAAAAACTACAGACCACACATTGTTTTCAAGTTCACCTTGGACATTTACTAACACTCACCATGTCCTAGGCTGCAAAACAAGACTCAACAAATAGCAAAAGAACTTGCATCACACCAGCCATGTTCTTGATGCAACAGAATAAAGGCATAAATTGGCAACCAAACTAAAATTAAGGGCTCCCCTATGTTTGGAAATTTAAAGATACACTACTGGCCAGGCACGGTGGCTCACACCTATAATCCCAGAGTTTTGGGAGGCCAAGGTAGGAGGATCCCTTGAGCCCAGGAGTTCAAGACCAGCCTGGGCAACATAGTGAGACCCCCCATCTCTATAAAACTAAATTAAATTATTTTTTAAATTAAAAAAATAAAAAATAATGCACTGGTCCGAGAAGAATTAGAATGAAAATCTAAAAGCATTTAGAACCGAACAATGAAAACTATGTACAAAAGCTTAAGCCATGTAGCCCAAGCAGTACTGCAAGGAAATTTTTTTAAAAAAAAGTGTGGCCAGACGCAGTGGCTCACGCATGTATTCCCAGCACCTCGGGAGGCCAAGGCGAGCGGATCAACTGAGGTCAGGAGTTAGAGACCATCCTGGCCAACATGAAGAAACCCCATCTCTACTAAAAATACAAAAATTAACTGGGCGTGGTGGTGAGCACCTGTAATCCCAGCTACCTGGGAGGCTGAGGCAGGAGAATTGCTTGAAACTGGAAGGTGGAGGTCGCATTGAGCTGAGATCGTACCGCTGCACTCCAGCCTGGGCGAGAAGAGTGAAACTCCATCTCAAAAAAAAAAGTGTAAAAAATAGAAATAATATTATGAAGTACAGAGGGATCTCCCTGCAGGCACCACTGGGAGCTGAAACATCAGGGGCACCTGGGGGGTGAAAGACATGAGTGGGAACAACTTCAGCCCTTGCTTCTCCTCCAAACACCTCTAAAAGGAATGCAAAGGGATTGCAGATGTAAAAGGGAAGAGTTCACAGCAGAGAGTGAGAGGAGCGCCTGCCAGGAACATCACAGAAGCTGGAAAACAAGTGGGGGAGTGACAACTGATTCAAGGGATCAGCGTGAACTTGGAAAAAAGTGGTGGGAAGCACCAAGGGCACGTGCCCACAGAGGAAAGGCCACATGAGGCCACCACCCAGAATAGAGGCCTTGGAAGAAACCAACCCTGCTGGCACCGTGATCCTGGGCTTCCAGGCTGCAGGACTGTCAGACCATTACGGTGTTGGACCGACACTGTAATGAAAGAAGTAGTGATAGCACACATGGCTGTTTCGCTCCAGTTCTAAAAGGGGGAAGGATGCCAGGTGTGGTGGTCTCCAGAAGGCCCTTCCATGTTTCTCTGTGGCACCCGCAGTGCCTGGATGTCAGCACTGGGAGAAACCGCCTCCAGATTCATCTGTAAAATCCGAGCATCAGTGAGCTCAACTCTCCCGCTTTCTCAGCTCTCTGTTTCCATTAGGTTTGGTTGATCTGGGTGAGGGCCAGCATCAGAGGTAAACCCAAATCTGTTCTCTGTGGACTGACCTCTTCTCCCTTCTCTTACATGTCTGCCATGTCCACTAGCCTGTGAGCTTCAGGAGACAAAGCAGCATGTTACTTCTTCCTGATACCCCCGAAACTTGCACAGTACATGCTATAAAATGCAGATTCATTGAGGGCTCTTTGCATTACAATTTTGAGAAAGAATCATGAACCATGATTTAACGTCTCTTTCCATCAAACCCCAGGCCCATAGAGCAATTGTCTTTACCTGTGATGCACACCTCCTACCTGTCCTCCCACCTGTCCTCCCCGCAGCCCGGCATCTCTGTCCTGCAGACCAAACACAAAACTCATTGCCATCCCTCTTCAACCTGGCTTCCTTTCTGACTTCCCTTCAGGTGCCCCAGGCAGAACCATGGGGATCATCTGACCCTCTGTCTCCCTCATCCTTCCCTATCCCACCAGCCCGTGTCCTACTGACTCAGTCCTTAAAGTCCCTCTGGCTCCCCACCGGATCCTCAGTGTCTGGTAGTACGGTGCCTGACGTGGGAGGTACACAGCGACCACTAGGTGAATACAAGAATGATGTGATTGGCCAGGCGCTGTGGCTCATGCCTGTAATCCCAGCACTTTAGGAGGCCGAGGCAGGCGGATCACGAGGTCAGGAGATCGAGACCATCCTGGCTAACAGGGTGAAACCCCGTATCTACTAAAAATACAATTCTGGTCATGCGCAGGTACTATTCATCAAGAAAGGTATTACAACTTCAGAAATGTGTTCAAAATGTATCCATACTTTGACATATTAATGAAGTAATCACATTCTACACAAAACTACTCCATATGGAATATTGGGGAGGGGGTGTTCCAAATAAAGAGACTGAGGATTTCTCATGAGAACTCAGTGTCTGCTAGAAAATATCTAAGTAAAATATTTTACTTATGCAGAAAGTGTGGATGTTTGTGCATCAAAAGTTTCAAGAATCCCTAAAATGTACAATGGAGATGAGGAGAAAATATCAGAATTTCCCAGCACCAGAAATGAGGCAAGAAAAAATTCAGAGGAGTTGTAAATGTGAAAAGCCAATGGCTGGTCACACAGCAACATTGATAACCTTGTGCCAGGACAACTAGAATAAATACATAAACATACAGATTGAAAATATTTCCAATATTAGATCTCCCTCATGTGAGAACTAAATTATAAAGATTGAAGCATATAAGAAAATAAGCTACCAGAATTTAGGCTACCAGAATAAATTCAATTACACATAAATTTCTGACATTGAAATTGTCACAAATGTTTAAGTTGGTAGTGGAAGACAAAGGACATATAATCTTGGGAGTCCTAGGGCCCTGCCCACTGCCAGTGCCTCCACACTACTACAGCTGATGCTTTCTGGAAAGCACCACCTCCTGGCAGTAGGCCAACCAGCACGAATATAGAGCATTAAACCACTAAAGCTAAGGACCCTCACAGAGTCTATTGCACCCTTCACCACATCCACTGGAACAGGCGCTGGTATCCATGTCTGAGAGACCCATAGATGGTTCACATCACAGGGCTCTATGCAGACAACCCCTAGTACCAGCCCAAAGCCAGGTAGACCTGCTGGGTGGCTAGACCCAGAAGAGAGACAACAATCAATGCACTTCGGCTCACAGGAAGCCATGCCCATAGGAAAAGGGGGAGAGTACTACGTCAAGGGAACACTCCGTGCGACAAAAGAGTCTGAACAACAGTCTTCAGCCCTAGACCTTTCCTCTGACAGAGTCTACCAAAATGAGAAGGAACCAGAAAACCAACCCTGGTAATCTGACAAAACAAGACTCTTCAATACCCCCCAAAGAATCACACCAGTTCATCACCAATGGATCCAAACAAAGAAGAAATCACTGATTTATCTGAAAAAGAATTCAGGTTAGTTATTAAACTAATCAGGGAGGGGCCAGAGAAAGGTGAAGCAAGAAAATCCAAAAAATGATACAATAAGTGAAGGGAGAAACATTCAAGGAAATAGATAGCTTAAATTAAAAAAAAATCAGGAAACTTTGGATGCACTTTTAGAAATGTGAAATGCTCTGGAAAGTATCAGCAATAGAACTGAACAAGTAGAAGAAAGAAATTCAGAATTTGAAGACACGGTCTTTGATTTAACCCAATCCAATAAAGACAAAGAAAAAAGAATAAGAAAATATGAGCAAAGCCTCCAAGGAGTCTGGCATTCTGTTAAACGATGAAACCTAAGACTAATTTGTGTACCTGAGGAAGAAGTGAATTCTAAAAGCCAGGAAAACATATTTGGGGGAATAATCAATGAAAATTTCCATGGCCTTGTGAGAGACCTAGACATCCAAATACAAGAAGCACAAATAACACCTGGGAAATTCATCACAAAAAGATCTTAGCCTAGGCACATTGTCATTAGGTTATCCAAAGTTAAGACAAAGGAAAGAATCTTAAGAGCTGTGAGACAGAAGCACTAGGTAACCTATAAAGGAAGACCTATCAAACTAACCACAGATTTCGCAGCAGAAACCTTACAAGCTAGATGGGATTGGGGTCCTTTCTTCAGCCTCCTCAAACGAAACAATTATCTGCCAAGAATTTTGTATCCAGCAAAACTAAACATCATATATGAAGGAAAGATACAGTCATTTGCAGACAAACAAATGCTGACAGAATTTGCCATTACCAAACCAGCACTGTAAAAACTGCTAAAAGGAGCTCTAAATCGTGAAACAAATCCTGGAAACACATCAAAACAGAACTTCATTAAAGCATAAATCACACAAGACCTACAAAACAAAAATACAAGTTAAAAAGCAAAAACAGAAAACAAAAACAATGTACAGAGGCAACAAAGAGCATGATGAAAGCAATGGTACCTCACTTTTTAATAGTAATGTTGGTTGTAAATGGCTTAAATGCTCCACTTACAAGATACAGAACCACAGAATAAAGAACTCACCAACTAACTATCTGCTGCCTTCAGGAGACTCACCTAACACATAACAACTTACATAAACTTAAGGAAAGTGGTAGAAAAAGGCATTTCATGCAAATGGACACCAAAAGCGAGCAGTGATAGCTATTCTCATATGAGAAAAAACAAACTTTAAAGCAACAGTAGCTAAAAGAGACAAAGACAGACAGTATAAAACGGTAAAGGCCTCATCCAACAGAAAAATATGACAATCCTGAACATACATGAACCTAATACTGGAGCTTCCAAATTTATAAAACAATTACTAGTAGACATAAGAAATGAGATAGACAGCAACACAATAATAGTGGGGGCCTTCAATACTCCACTGACAGCACTAGACAGGTCATCAAGACAGAAAGTCAACAAAGAAACACTGGATTTAAACTATACTTTGGAACAAATGGACTTAACAGATATATACAGAACATTTCATCCAACAACCACAGAATACACATTCTATTCCACAGCACATGGAATTTTCTCCAAGATAGACCATATGATAGGCCATAAAATGAGTCTCAATAAATTTAAGAAAATTGAAATTGTATCACGCACTCTCTCAGATCACAGTGGAATAAAACTGAAAATCAACTCCAAAAGGAATCTTCAAAACCATGCAAATACATAGAAATTAAATAACCTGCTCCTGAATGAGCATTGGGTGAAAAATGAAATCAAGATGGAAATGTAAAAAATTTCTTTGAACTGGATGACACAACCTATCAAGACCTCTGGGATACAGCAAAGGCAGTGCTAGGAGGAAAGTTTGTAGCCCTAAACACCTATGTCAAAAAGTCTGAAAGAGCACAGACAATCTAAGTTCACATCTCAGGGAACTAGAGAAGCAGGAACAAGCCAAACCCAATCCCAGCAAACAAAGGAAATAACCAAGATCAGAGCAGAACTAAATGAAATTGACACAACAACAACAACAAAAAATACAAAACATAAATAAAACAAAAAGTTGGTTATTTGAAAAGATAAATAAAATTGATAGACCGTTAGCAAGATTAACCAAGAAAAGAAGAGAGAAAATCCAAATAACCTCACTAAGAAATGAAACAGGGGATATTACAACTGACACCACTGAAATATTAAAGATTATTCAAGGGTACTATGAACACCTTTTGGCACATAAACTAGAAAACCTAGGAGAGTTGGACAAATTCCTGGAAAAATACAACCCTCCTAGCTTAAATCAGGAAGAATTAGATACCTCAAGCAGACCAATAAAGCAAGCAGAAAGATCGAAATGGTAATATTAAAATTACCAACAAAAAAAGCCGAGGACTAGACAGATTCACAGCAGAATTCTACCAGACATTCAAAGGATGTCTTCTTTCATTCAAAGAAGAAATGATACCAATCCTTTCACACTATTCCACAAGACAGAAAAAGAAGAAACCCTCCCTGATTCATTCTATGAAGCCAGCATCACCCTAATACCAAAACCATGGAAGGACATAACCAAAAAAGAAAACTACAGACCAACATCCTTGAACGCAGATGCCAAAATCCTTAACAAAATACTATCTAACTGAATCCAACAACATATCAAAAAGATGATCCACCATGATCAAGTGGGTTTCATACCAGTGATACAGGAATGGTTTAACATACGCAAGTCAATAAATGTGATACACCAAATAAACAGAATTAAAAAAAAACTCACATGATTATATCAACAGATGCAGAAGAAGCATTCGACAAAATCTAGCATTGCTTTATGATTAAAGCTCTCAGCAAAATAGGCATACAAGGGACATACCTTAATGTAATAAAAGCCATCTGTGACAAACCCACAGCCAACATAATACTGAATGGGGAAAAGGTGAAAGCATTCACTTTGAGAACTGGAACAAGACGAGGAGCCTACTCTCACCACTCCTCTTCAACATAGTACTGGAAGTCCTAGCCAGAGCAATCAGAAAAAAGAAGGAAATAGAGGAAATCCAAATTGGTAAAGAGGAAGCCAAACTGTCACTGGTTGCTGACGATATGATCTTTCGCCTTGAAAACCCTATGGACTCCTCTAGAAAGCTCCTAGAACTGATAAAAGAATTCAGCAAAGTTTCCAGATACACGATTAATGTACACAAATCAGTAGCTCTTCTATACATCAACAGCTACCAAGCAGAGAATCACATCAAGAACTCAACCCCTTTTACAATAGCTGCAAAAAACAAAAAAGCAAACAAAAAAAACTTAGGAATATACCTAACAAAGGAATCAAAAGACCTCTACAATGAAAATTACAAAACACTGCTGAAAGAAATCACAGATGGAGCCAAGCACGGTGGTGCATGCCTATAATCCCAGCTACTCGGGAAGCTGAGGCAGGAGAATTGCTTGAACCCGGGAGGCAGAAGTTGTAGTGAGCTGAGATCACACCAATGCACTCCCACCTCAGCGACAAGAGCGAAACTCCCTCTGAAAAAAAAAAAAAAGACCAAGAAAGAAAAGAAATCTTAGATGACACAAACAAATGGAAATGCATCCCCATGCTCATGGATAGGTAGAACCAATATTGTGAAAATTACCATTCTGTTAAAGGCAATCTACAAATTCAATGCAATCCCCATCTGAATACCATCATCATTCTTCAGAGAATTACAAAAACAATTCTAAAATTAATATGGAACCAAAAGAGAGCCATGTAGCCCAACCAAGGCTAAGCAAAAAGAACAAACCTGGAGGCATCACACTACTTGATTTCAAACTGTACAATAAGGCCATAGTTACCAAAACAGCATGGTACTGGTTTAAAAATAGGCACATAGACCAATGGAACAGAAGAGAGAACACAGAAATTAACCCAAATACTTACAGCCAACTGATCTTCGACAAAGTAAACAAAAACATAAAGTGGGGAAAGGACACCCTTTTCAACACATGATGTTGGGATAATTGGCGAGCCACATGTAGGGGAATAAAACTGGATTCTCATCTCTCACCTTATACAAAAATCTACTCAAGATGTATTAAGGACTTAAACCTAATTCCTGAACTATAAAAATTCTAGAAGGTAACACTGGATAAACCCTTCTAGACATTGGCATAGGCAAGGATATCATGACCAAGAACCCAAATGCAAATGCAATAAAAACAAAGCTAAATAGCTGGGACTTAATTAAACTAAATAGCTTTTGCATGGCAAAGGGAACAGTCAGCAGAGTAAATAGACAAATAACAGAGAGGGAACCCTGACCCTGACCCCTGACCCTGACCCCGACCCCTGACCCTGACCCCTAACCCCTGACCCTGACCCCTAACCCCTGACCATAACCCTAACCCCTAACCCTAACCCTAACACCTAACCCCAACCCTCACCCTCACCCTAACCCAACCCTAACACCTAATCCCTAACCCCTAACCTCTCTTAACCCCTCACTCTAAACGTTGACTCCTAACCCCTAACTCTGACCCCAACTTCTATCTCCAACCCCTAACCGTAAACTTAACCCCTAACCCCTAACCCTAACACCAACCTTAACCCTAGGTTCATTACTACGTTTGTATTGACTATGTCAATGTTGATTATTATGATCGCTGTCTTAGGACTGCACGGCAGCGAGGGGATTGTGGATCTTATATTAATGTTTTTGTATTGAGGCAGTGCATTAGCACTACAGGTGCTTGTTACATGAGCAATGGGGGTGTCATATTTTGGGTGTCATGTCTGCATTAGGAATGCTGCATTTGTCTTCCGAGACTGCGGTGTGGATCTCGCACTGCGGCCACCTCGCCTTGGCAGGGGAGAAACTCAGTGGGCAGGATTCAGAGGGGCTATTGGTTTCCCGTTTTCCACACTGAACCCGTCTGACTGGTCTCTGACCCTGATTATTCAGGGCTGCAAACAGGAAGGATTTTATTCACCGTCGATGCGGCCCCGAGTTGTCCCAAAGCGAGGCAGTGCCCCCAAGGTCTGTGCTGAGGAGAACGCTGCTCTGCCTTTGCGGTGGCCCCCCAGGTCTGTGCTGAGCAGAACACACCTCATCCTGTGCTGAGGAGAAGGCAGCTCCGCCCTCCCAAAGGCACACAGCGCCAGCGCAGGGCGCCGAGAAGCGCACCCGAACCCGAATCCTAACCCTAACGCCGTCCTAAGAGCCCTGGGGAGACCTTAGGGAACAAGCATTAAACTGACACTCGAGTCTGTAGCCGGATCTGCCAAAAGACTTGGGGTTGGGGTGATATGAGGGCAAGGGTCAGGGAAGAAAGCGTTCTTGTTTTAGACCCACAGGAAGATCTGTGAAGTGCACTTGGGTAGAGCATATGTTGCCTGGCGTGCGCTTGAAAAGAGCCTAAGAAGAGGGGGCGTCTGGAAGGAACTGCAACGCCAAGGGAGGGTGTCCAGCCTTCCCGCTTCAACACCTGGACACATTCCGGAAAGTTTCCTCAGAAAGCCAGAAAAATTAAAAAAAAAAAAAAAAAAATCCAGAGGGCGGGGGGTGGGGGAGGGGCTAATGGGGCTTTACTGGGACTATCTGTCTTAGTCCTCCAAAGAACCCTACCATAGCAGCCCATCAGTCCTCTGAGACAGGTGAGGAACCTGAGATCACAGGGGGACACCCAGAAGGTCCAAGCAGAGCACCCTAGGCCCCCCACACCTCCCCTCGTGGCAGCTCCAACCCCAGCTTTTTCACTGGTAAGGCACGTCGGCTGCTGGGCCACGCCCACTCCCCCAAGCGGGAGTTTGATAAACAAACTGTTAATTATTATTACCTATATCTGGATGGGTTATGAGTGAATTTTTTTAAATTTATTTTTATTTATTCTTTATTTATTTTTGCGGGGACAGAGTCTTGCTCTGTCACTCAGGCTGGAGTGCGATGGCATGATCTCAGCTTACTGCAACCTCCACCTCCTGGGTTCAAGGAATTCTCCCACCTCAGCCTCCCAAGTACCTGAGACACAGGCGTATGCCACCACTCCCAGCTAACTTTTGTATTTTTAGTTAGAGATGGGGTTTTGCCATGTTGGCCAGACTAGGCTTGAACTCCCGATGTCACGTGATTTGTCCATCTCTGCCTCCCAAAGTGTTGGGATTACAGGCGTAAGCTACCGCACCCAGCCTAAAGTATATTTTTGTTTTCAAAAATTGTGTGGTATGCATGAGTTTTATAGCAAGAAAAAATTATAACTTATTTTGAATTAAATTCCATTGTTTTAAAATTAAGCAATAGGTGAGCTCGAATTTTAAGCTCCAAAAATGACCAAGAACTTCTTTGATTCCCTTTTAAACCTGTTGTCTGTTTTAGTCACTCATATGGAATCATTCATAGGTTTTTACTTAAAATCTAAACCAAATAATGAAGTAACTGTTTAAATTGTTAGATTGTGAATATGGCTCAGTTGGATGTAAAATGTAACTATTACTTAGGAAAACGATCTGATTTTTTTTAGCAAGCGATATTCTTTCTTTCTGAGAGCATTTCACAAATGTTTCTACCTAATGAATCATACTTTAAAAATAACACTTGTAATTCTTTTTTCTTTTTAGTTTCCTGCCTGCGATGGTTCACATAATAAACACAATGAATTGACAGGAGATAATGTGGGTCCACTAATACTGAAGAAGAAAGAAGTATAATAATAATAACAATATTTTCTCATTCTTTGTGTATAGAAAATTTTAAAATGGTGGTCTTAATTATTACTACTGGTTGAAAAATTATTTCTTCCAATTTATTTTCTTCCTGCACTACTGTTTGTATTTGATCCTTTGTCTATTCAGTCACTTAATTAGAAATTAAATTGTCAAGCCTCTTATTCTGACTTCAAAGGATTAATGTATCTTCCAACAATAAAATCACTTCTGATTTTAATCTAGGAAAACCTAAATTGTGGCTATGGATCCAAAGCTGTTTGTTTCTTTGAATATCAATATTTTCAACAGGATCTTGTTTTTAAAATTCCCGCTTACATTGTTAAATATGTTATTTTTTCATATCTCTTTTGGTTTTGATAATCTGAAGTGTTTTTTTCTCCTTTTGGCCTTCCAAACTGCATTTGTTTAGGTGAATTAAGAAAAATATTGCCATCAAGAATTACTTGTGTTTTCACAGAGATAGACTCTTTGCTTTACAGAGATTGTTGGGTATTTAATATGAATATCCCAGCTTTAGAAAAGAAGTAAACTGGATACAAAAAGTTCCATTGAGGAACAGTTATTTACAGTATAAAAGATTTGTTTACTTTACAAAAGGCTTGTGTCTGTTTGTGTGTGTGTATATTTTAAACTGTTTGACTCAGTGGCAGCTGGGGTGGAATGGCAAGAACACTTACAACCAAGCTCATGGGCTGCTGCAATTTGAAGATCAATTGGTAATAAATATAAGACATATTAATTCATATTAAAATAGTTCTGTGTTCAAAATTGTGGTTATGTGGACATTTTTCTCTTTTTAACAATATAAACCATTAAAATACAGTCATCCCTTGTATACACTGGGGACTAGTTCCAGGGCCACACATATACTAAAATCTGCCCATACTCAAGTCTCACAGAAAGTCTTGCAGAACCCATATGTAGAAAAGTTGGCCCTCCAATTGAACCTCCGTACACATGAGTTTCACATCCCATGCACAAATGCTGATCTGTGTGATCTCACCTGCATTTGACTGAAAAAAGTATGCGCATAAGTGTACCCACCCAGTTCAAACCCATGTGTAAGTGTCAACTGTACAAAAAAGTTTATGAAATAAACGTATCGGAGAATCTTTAAAATTTTTGTGCTTTTTAATCCTACTATTATGAGCCTTTTTAGTTTCATCTTACATTACTACTCTCATAATAGCTATCCTTAGCCAGGTGTCATGGCACAGGCCTGTAGTCCCAACTGCTGGGAAGATTGAGGTGGGAGGATGGCTGCAGGGCCGGATCCCAGGAGTTCAAGGCCAGGCTGGGCAAAATAGTGCTCTGCCTCTGCTGGGCTCTGTAGGGAATCCTTTCTGTTCTGAAAGAGTTACCATTTAACCCTCTTCACTGAGTGCATTTCTGAGACCTTGCTAGGCACTATGGAAACTGCTTAGTTGAGAAAAGACAAATACAAAAGCTTTTCTTTAGTCTATTTAAGATACAATTTATTCAGTTCACTTTGCTTTCTTTTTATAAGAAGGTACAAGAGGCAGAGGTAATCCTTCTAGAAATAAAACTAACTGTTATTGAGAACTTGTATGTACCAGACGCTACAATAAGCATGGTACTTGGGTTTTTAATTTATTACATGTAATGTCAGTAGGTTAAATTATATGATCAGAACAACTTCATGACCAGCAGCATGTATTTTAGAGTTAGAAATGTAGTCTGGTTTTTGAGAAGTTTTACAAGGTGTATGTCCAAAATTATTGTTCTTTCCTCACATGTCAGTGGGGGATAAATACAGCATTGCTCTCACTTCTTTGACTCTGGGTACTTTTTCATATACATTTTCTTCAACACTGTTAAGGGGCCTCACTGTCAGATTAACCAATTATTTTTCCACAGTTGGTCACCAGACTTTGGAAAAAATCCACCTCACCAAAATTTTGGATATCCTGGTCTGTGGTCATGAAATGCTTTTCTTTTTGTAAAATCTGTCACTGCGTCTCACAGCAACTTGTTTTCACACATGTTCTAGTGGTTCCCATAACTTAGATTTTACAGGAGGCAAATACGCTAAAAATGAGGAGACTAAAATGAATGACCAACTTTGAATTTTGTCAAATAACATTGAAAATGAATTATCTCATAAAAGGTAATTTGAATACCCCAAAAGTAAGATGGTTATACTCTCAGAATAAAGACTTTTTCCCTGCCACATTTTCAGTTGTTAAAATATGCTAAGAGCTATGCCCATATCTTTTCCCACCTGTGCAAATTTTTCAGAAGCCTAGGGTTGGTAGTAAGCTGTTGCTTTAATAACTCTTTTAAATAAGCATTATTAGCAGTTTCCATTACTTCTTGTAAATTTACACAATTTTATCTTGTCCATCTTTAAAAAATAGCCATCTAATAACCAAATGTATTTCAATTGATACAGTATAACTAACTTGTAGAACTTGAGGATAAGTGGTAAAGGGAAAAAAAAGTAACTTGGCTTTTGAAATACGTCTTGGGTTTCTAGAGCCTTCAAAATACAGCCCTGTTGTTACTGTGTCACATTATGATTGTTTTGAGGGCTACTTCTGCTTACCTAGGAAACTACTCATGCCTTACTCAGCAAATGAACACCACCATTACATAAACATCAGGTATCCAAAAGTGTTAGCAGGCTTGAGGTATGAATGATTCATTCATATGGGTAATTAAGCAAGTTGAATTATGAAAAGCACCTCACAATTCACACAATTCAGCTTTGAGTTCAAGGCCAAATATGATGATTCATTAAGTTGCCTTTGTATTTTGTAACCTAATTTGTTAATAAGTTACAGGAAGCCAATTAAGCCAGCTGCTCATCTATATAGTACTACCTTCCTCATTGTGATTCCATAGTCTTCCAATAGAAATGTGCTATCAGAATCTGTATAAAGAGTTTGTAAATTCCACTATTTAACAAGGTTCTTAAGAATTTAGGTGGATGTTTTGTTTGATACCTACCAAAGAAACTTAACTAATTGTATAACACTTAACCCATTTAGAATTCAGTTGTGGCAGCATAACCAATCTGGAGAGACCAGGGGAGATGTTACTAATGCTTGTACTTTATTCAGAAGTGAGTGCCTCATTGGCTTGGTGCAGTGACTACACACCTGTAATCTCAGCACTTTGGGAGGCTGAGGTGGGTGGAGTACTTGATCTCAGGAGTTCCGTACCAGCCTGGGCAACATGGTGAGATCTCATCTCTACAAAAAAATACGAAAATTTACCGGGCACCAGTGGTGCACCCATAGTCCCAGTTACTCGGGAGGCTGAGGCACAAGAATCTCTTGAGTTGAGGAGGCCAAGGTTGCAGTGAGCCAAGATTGTGCCACTGTGCTCCAGCCTGGGCAACAGAAGTGAAACCCTATCTTAAAAAAAAAAAAGTCTTTTTTTATTCATCTAATCAAATTTATTGGGGCAGAAATCAGTACGAAGTTCATAGGACAGGAGGAAACCAATATAAACATCTCAGCATTGTAGGAAATTTAACCCATGGAAAGCAGGGCTGAATTAAAGACCACTTTGAAGGCCAGGAAAAGCAGATAATTTAGATATAGTCAAAGTATGAAATCCAGAACAAGGGAATGATGTATGTGTTTACATATTAGATCTACTTTATTAACAATTTTCCCTCTGTTAAACTAATATTGACTAATAGTAGTCTAGGTAAGTCAAGTTCAAATTAAATGGTGATTGAAAAGTCTTCTTTTTTAAAAATTTTTAATGGTAGAGGCAGCAGCTACCCAGAGTCTACTTATTCTTACTTCACATTGAATTCTAACAAGTTAGGTTATCTGATTTCTGCTTCCTAACAAATCACAAGTATCGAAAGGGTCTTGCAGAAGGGGTGAACTATAAAATGTGACAGCTGACAGCAAGGCAGGGGAACAAAAATAAATTTAAGGTGAACATTAAAAGCATAGCAGCTTGAGACAATTCATAGGATTCCGCATGCAACCGTCTCTGAGGACATCACTGTGATCAAATTATACAAGTGATGTTTAGTGATGAATTGGAATCAAGATAAGTAGTATGTGTTATTTAAAAAGGCAGGATATGTGTTGCATTCGGTGGCAACAATTTCCCCTTAGCTATTTAGTTAAAAGCTTAGTGCTTAACATGTTGGAAAACTTATGCATGAAATATATTGACTTATTCCTTGATGACTGGAGGCTTTATCACAGGAAGTTTTCCCATTCAATTGAAACATTTTTCAAGCTTAATGACTATAATTTACTACATAATTTATTTTGTTAAAGTTTGAGGAAAACTAAATAAAGAAGTAGCAATTTAAGTCATAATAAATTTTGTTAGATGACTTCTTCCACTTTAGGGGGAATTAAAAATCTTGTTTAAAAACCACATGTGCAGCAGTTCTGTGACTGCCTCAACACCTAGTTGGCCATATAGTCCCTTTGCACCACAGAGGTTGGAGTATAGAATATGCCCAAAGCTGTTTTGTTTTGTTTTAACTATGCTGCATCATCTGAGGTTGTGTTAACATAGTTTGTCCTAATAGTCTTTTACTGGAAAGTTGCTATATTTGATTATGTTCAGCAAGTAAACTAATTTTATCTACTTTCATATATTTTGAGACAAAGTCTGGCCCTGTCACCCAGGCTGGAGTGCGGGGGAGTGATCGTACCTCACCGCAGCCTCAGCCTCTTGTGCTCAAGCGATCCTCCCACCTCAGCCTCCCAAGTAGCTGAGACTACAGTCATGCTTCATCATGCCCGGTTAATTTTTTACTTTTCTAAGAGACAGAGTCTCACTATGTTACCCAGGCTGGTCTCGAAGTCCTGGACTCAAGTGATCCTCCCTGCCTCAGCACTCCCAAAGTGCTGGGATTGCAGGTGTGAGCAACGATGCCTGGTGTTTTATCTTTTGCAGAAATCCAATTTAGTAAAGTCATGTTGTAGCAAGCATCATTTTCATATAAAAAGTGTACAGTTCATATTATTAGCAAATGTATTGTGTAATTTTATATTAGTTATGGTCTTCAAGGACATTGAAAATCTCTTCAGAAAGACTGTGTTTTTCAACCAGAGATGATATCACTCTAACTTTCCTTTGGTTTAAATGCTTGATTCTTTGCTTACAAAATTTCTGTTTTGAACAATTATGGTGAGAAAGTATATTTGTGATACTGTTTTCTTAGAACATTGTTGTCAGATAGATCAGCCATAATGTTAACACATTTCTGATCTCTATTATAAGGCTGTAATTTTCCAAAATAATATAGAAAAGGAGAAAAGGGTAGTACATTTCATAATTACTGAGATGAACCCTGTACTAGTGAGAAAATAAAAATGCCAACAATTTATTAAATTTTCAGATTTCCTGTAATTTTCCATCACTATCCCTCATACATTTCTCTGCATGATCACACTAAAGATATAAATTAATCACATCCATTCAACAAATCAAGAAACTCAAAACTCACAAGTACAATCTTCAACTCTGTAGAATGCTACCAAGAAGTAAAATAAGATGAAGGTAGAAAGATTCTCTTTGAGGGCCAGGTGCGGTGGCTCACACCTGTAATTAATTCCAGCACTTTGAGAGGTCAAGGTGGGCAGATTGCCTAAGGTGAGGAGTTCAAGACCAGCCTGGCCAACATTGTGAAAACTCGTCTCTACAAAAATACAAAAATTAACTGGGCATGATGGTGGATGTCTGTAATCCCAGCTACTCGGGAGGCTGAGGTGGAAGAATCGCTTGAATCCAGGAGGCAGAGGTTGCAGAGTGCCAAGGTCATGCCATTGCATTCCAGCCTGGGCCACAGAGCAAGACTCCATCTCAAAAAAAAAAAAAAAAGAAAAGAAAAAAGAAAGATTCACTTTGAAATGCTGCATGCAACTATATGGCCACACATTGGAAAATCTAGAGAAAATGGGTAATTTTCTGGAAAAATATAAATGACCAAAACTAATCCAAGAAGAAATTTAAAATGTTATTAGACCAGTTACAAAGAAGAGAATGTAAAGTGATTTTTTAAATCCATAATTTAAAAAGTACTAGGGTTGCAAGAAGGATAATTCCAATGTTATTTAAAGTATCCCAAATTTTTTTAAAAAAGAAAAACCAATTCATTTCACATAGGTAGTGCAGCATTAATATGAAAACCTTATAAACATAAGACAAAACTATAGGCCAGGTGCCATGGCTTACACCTGTAATCCCAGCACTTTGGGAAGCCAAGGCAGGTGGATCACTTAAGGTCAGTAGTTCAAGACCAGCCTGGACAATATGGTGAAACCCCGTCTCTACTAAAAATACAAAAATTAGCCCGGCATGGTGGTGCATGTCTGTAATCCCAGCTTGAACCCAGGAGGCAGAGGTTGCAGTGAGCCAAGATCACGCCACTGCACTCCAGCCTGGGTGACAGAGCAAGTCTCCGTCTCAAAAAAAAAAACAAACAAAAAAACCAAAACTATAGACCAATCTGACTTATACATATGAATGAATATTCTAAATAAAAACCCAGCACTTTTATCAATAATTGCAACAACAAAAAAGAGTGATACAGTATGCAAAGAGCATTGTATTTCAGGAATTCACGGGTATTTCAATATCAGTTAAGTATATTAACACAATTACATAATTGACATCAAAGAAGAGGAAAATGTGATTATATCAGTAGATGCTGAGAGGGCTATTGTTAAGATTAAACATCCACTCGTAATGAAGATTCTTGAGTAAAATAGAAATTGAAGGAAAGTGTCTAAACATAACCTTTATTTATGAAATGCCTACAAAACAAGTATTTTAAATCATAAAGGAACATTTCAATTAAAACAAGGAACCAGTAGGAATAGCTGCTGTCATTATTTGTTATTAAAAATTATCTTGGAGGATCCATGAATGTAACAAGATTTTTAAATGAAATAATCAGTATAAATATATAGAAAACTTTTTTTGGATATGATTATATGCCTAGGAAATCATAGAGATTAGGAAAAACAGAACTTTCAAATATTTTAAAGAGGAATATTGGTAAGGTATTTGGAAATAAGATCATAATACAAAATATATTAGCAATAAGCACCTTGAAATGCTAATGGTAAAAATATTCACAATAACAAAAATAATAAAGGTAAAATAAATTTGCCAAGAAAGAAGATCTATAAGAAAAAAACTATAAAAATGTTACCAAAAGCTATTGAATGAGAAACACATGAGGCTAGGTGCAGTGGCTCATACCTGTAATCCCAGCACTTTGGGAGGCTGAGGCAGAAGGACTGCTTGAGCCCAGGAGTTCAAGACGAGCTTCGGCAAATTGTGAAACACTATCTCTAAACAAAACAAAACAAAAAACTAGTTGGGCTTGGCGCATGCTTATAGAACCAGGTACTTGGGAGGCTGAGGTGGGAGGTTGGGGCTTCAGTGAGCTGAGATCCCACAACTGCACTCCTGCCTGGGTGACAAAGTGAGACCCTGTCTCAAAAAAACAAACAAAACTCTTGTAAAAACATAAATCTCCTAAAATTATATATAAATTCAATTAAATTCACATTAGAATCACAAAAGCATTTTACAATTGGATTAAATTATCTTAAAGTTCATGTAGAAGAATAGTCAGAAAATTGTACCAAAAAAAAGACTATTGAGAGGAACTTTTCTCACCAGATATCAGCACCTACTAAAGAACTATTGGAATTGATCAATTAAGAAAAACAATTGTATTAATTAAGAATAAGCAAGAGTGGTAAAAAATTGAGAATCTACATGTAGATGAAAAATTAATATATGAAAATAAACAATTCAAAGAAAACAAAATTGGACCCTCAATTTACACTGAAGGCTTTGAAGTGATACATAAAATGATTTTTAAAATGATTTAAATACGTACATAAATGGAGAGAGGAAGGGTGGGAGAGAAGCGGGAGAGAGAGAAAATAGAAGACTAAAGACGGGAACACCTATGTGGAAAAAGATAACACTTAATGACAAAATATGTTTTATGTGAATATCAGTTATACATAATAAATATTGGGGACATTGCGTTGTGGGTTACAGCAAAGCATTAAGAAACAGAGTAAGTGAACAAAAAAAGGAAAGAAAACTACCAAATTCCATGTATGATACCCCGTTTTGAAATTCCATAAATTAAACATGTGTACACATAAGAAAATTTAAAACATTAAAATTTTGTTAACAAAATGGATTTGATAACACGAAGGCCATTGATGACCTTACCCACAGCAGCTTTGTTTAAATGGGGATTAAGGATGGAGCAAAATTTATTAGAACACTTTGAATAATGAATTAGCAAACTACAATAAACTGAAATCTTATCTACCAAATAATCACAGTAAAGTAAACAAATCTAAAAGAAATGAATAAAACAATTGTGAGCAAAAAAGGATAGAGTCACTGCATATAATGTAAATGAGACAAGGATGGCCTCTGTGTATTGGCACCTAGGTTATTTCTTCACAGCAAGTTGAAACCCATTAGCTCAAAACCAACTGGCACCAAACTCAAATTTTTAAATATCCAATTGTGTTAAACATAGCCCAGACATGCAGATTTGTAGGCATTTAGAGCCTGCCAGATTTACATGCCCTGGGAAACTACGTCCAAAATCTGCTTGCCACAGATAAACTCTAGGCTGTAAAGACCCCAAACTGCTTCTGCTCTTTGGAACTCTGTGAACTACAGACTCCATGCCATGCTGCTGAGTGATATCACTGAGATATGAAAGCCTCCTCTCTGATCCTTTCCTCCCTCAGGAGTTCCTTTGCCCTCCTCCCCTTCTGAGTGGTGGCCCCCTTGTCTCAATCCTCTGGTCCATCTCTTGCTGTGAAGGCCTTCCCCAGGATACAAACCTGAGAAGAGATCATCCAGATAAAGCCCATGTGTGCTTCTGTCACATCTTTTTCTATATTTTTCTAATTTTTTTCTAAACTTTTCTAATTTTTTCTTAATTTTTATAGAATTGTGGATACCTAATAATGTAGTCTCAAAATAAATAAAGCCAAAATTAGAATTGGAAACAGCAATAAAAAAAATCTACACAGTGAGAGATTTTAACATTTCATTTTTAGTAATTGAATAAATAAAAATAAAATTAGTAAGGCTAATCAACAGTTAAAGAATTTCTATTCTTTTCAAGCACACTTGGAGTATTTACAAAAATTGACCAGATATTAGACCTAAAGGTAGTATCAAATGTTTACAGTGGTATAACAAATGTGTAATAGCACTATTAGAAATCAATAACAAAAACTTATCCAAAAGTAATCCATGAATTTTAGAAACTACAAACAGCTTCCAAATGATTCATGGAAGCAAGAAGAAATTATAATAAAAATTAGAACATGCTTAAAATTGAATTAAAATGAAAACATTACCGATCAATATATATGTAAAATAACCGAAGCAGTACTTAGAGTGAAATTTACCAGAAGCAATTCACATTCATGGGAAGGACAACAGCATGCATTTACCAGTTAAAATAGACTGGGTAAGAAATAACATGTTGGATGGCCTAGAGAGACACAAGCATCCCTGAGAGAGAAAATCATCTGAAGATTTAAGGACCTGTGACATCAGTTGCAGAAGATTTTAGGGGGCCCATTGGTCCCCCTATACTAAGGAATACTGTTCTGACACATTTGATGAGTGACACAGAAGGCTTCCACCTTTGACAAAAGCTTAGGGCACAAAAGGCCTCTGCAGCAGGTCCAGGATCCAGGGCAAGCAGCCCTACTGTTTGAGCCATACAATCTAGTAGGCTCTATGGTATTAGAAGTATATGCAGTTGGAAAAAGCACCATGTAGAGTTTATAGCAAACCCTAATAGACGATTCACACATAGTCTTGTGGGGTTCACTAGCATGGTCATGCTATCTGCAATTGTATATTGTATAAATATATAGCATAATTGTGTACTTTAATAGCTCCTAGCATGCTACTGCACCTAGGTAGAGATGGACTATCTGACAACAAATATTAAGTGACCATGTGGCTAAAAGTTCCCACCGTAAGTTTGGTTTTGTTAGATCTACCAGATCATAAGGACAGGTTGGCCCAGCAACAAATCATAATAAAATAGAAGTAGCACATTGAATTAGTCCATTTTCACGTTGCTATAAAGAACTACCCAAGACTGGGTAATTAATAAACAAAAGAGGTTTATTGACTCACAGTTCCGTATGGCTAGAGAGGTCTCAGGAAACTTACACTTATGACTAAAGGCAAAGGTGAAGCAGGCACCTTCTTCACAAGGAAGCAGGAGAGACAGAGAGCAAAGGGGGATGTGCCAAACACTTTTAAACCATCCGCTTTCATGAGAACTCACTCAATATCATGAGAACAGCATGAGGGAAACTGCAACCATGATCCAGTCACCTCCCACCAGGTCCCTCTCTCTACATGTGGGGATTATAATTTGAGATGAGATTTTGTGGGGACACAGAGCCAAACCATATCACATCAAGGATTGGGCATGAGAAAGACTAGAGGACACAAGTAAGCAGTATGATCAGGTGATCCAGGTCCCCACATTATCCAAATTGTGACACTAGATTCTCTCCCTCAGCTGGCAACTGCCTACGTAGGAGTTCCAATATTGCTAAAGGAGGAAAAAAGCTAAGCTTGTTCATTGGAAGATCAACTCAGGATGCGGATGTAAGTAAAAAATGATAGCAGCCTACTTCAGCTATGGAAAGATAGCAGTAGATTAAATCCTCCCAAGGACGATTCAACATATACGAATCAATAAGTGTGATATACACATTAACAGAATGAAGGACAAAAACTATATGAATATCTCCATGGATGCAGAGAAAGCATTTGACAAAATTCAACATCTTTCTGTAATAAAAACTTTCAACAAATTAGGTATCAATGTCCACATAACACAATAAAGGCATATATGATAGGCCCACATCTAACATCATACTCAATGGTAAAAAGCTGAAAGCTTTTTCTCTAAGATCAGAAACAAGATGGATGCCCATTTTCACCACTTCTATTCAAGTTCTAGCAATTAGTCAAGAAGAAGAAATAAAGGCATTAAAGTCAGAAAGGAAGAAGTGAAATTGTCTCTGCAGACAACATGATCTTAAATGTAGAAAACCCTAAAGAGTCCACCAAAAAAAACTGTTGGAACTAGTAAATTAATTCAGTAAAGTTGCAGGATACAAAATCAACATAAAAAAACGAGTAGCATCTGTATACACTACCAATGAACTATCTGAAAAAGAAATCAAGAAAACGATTTCATTTATAATGGCTACACAAATACTTAGGAATTAATTTAACCAAGGAGGTGAAAGACCTGTACACTGAAAACTATAAAACATTGGTGAAAGAAATTGAAGAAGACACAAATAAATGGAAATATATCCCATCTTCATGGATTAGAAGAATTCATACTGTTAAAATGTTCTTAGTACCCAAAGTGATCTACAGATTCTTATGTAATCTCTATCAAAATTCCAATGATATTTTTTACATAAACAGAAAAAAGTCCCCAAATTCACTTGAAACCACAAAATACTCCAAATAGCAAATTGTGAGCAAAAAGAACAAAGTAGGAGGCATCACATTATCCAGTTTCAAAATATACTATGATGCTATAGTAATCAAAAATATAACATGATACTGGCATACAAACAGACTGGTAGACCAATGGAATAGAATAGAGAGCCTCAAAATACATCCACGTTTATGGCCAATTGATTTTCAGTAAATATGCCAAGAATACACAATGGGGAAAGGACAATCTTTTCAATAAATGGTGTTGGGAGAACTCCACATGCAGAGAAATGAAATTAGACCCTTATCTCACACCATATATAAAAAAATAACACAAATGGACTAAAGACTTAAATATAAAACCTGAAACCATAAAACTACTAGAAGAAAACATACAGGAAAAGCTCCATGAGACTGGTCTGGGCAATGATTTTCTGGATATGACCCCCAAAGCACAGGCAACAAAAGCAAAAATAGACAAACGGGATTATATCAAACTAAAAAGCTGTGCAAGCAAAGGGAGCAATCAATAGAGTAAAGAGGTAGCCTACAAAAAGGGAGAAAATATTTGCAAACCATACATCTGATAAAGGATTAATATCCAGAATATATAAAGTATTCATACATCTCAATAGCATGAAAACATATAACCTGATTAATGAAAGGGAGGCAAAGTACCTGAAGAAACATTTTTCCAAAGAAGACATACAAATGGCCAACAGGAATATGAAAAAATAACAAACATCACCAGTCGTCAGGGAAACGCAAATCAAAACCACAATGAGACATCCCTTTTAGAATGGCTACTATGAAAAAGACAAAAGATAACGTGTTGGTGAGGATGTGGAGAAAAGGGAGCCTTTGTATACTGTTGGCAGGAATGTAAATTAGTACAGCCATTATGAAAAATAATATAGAGGTTTCTCAGAAAGTTAAAAATAAAACTACCATATGATCCAGCAATCCTAGTACTATTTATATACCCAAATAAAATGATTCAATATGTCAAAGAAAAATCTGTACCTCATGTTCATTGCAACATTATTCACAATAGACAAGATACGAAATCAACCTAAGTATCCTTTAACAGATGAATGATTAAAGAAAATGTGGTGTATATATACCTAATGAAATATTGTTCAGCCTTAAAGAAGGAAATCCTGTCCTTTGTAATAACATGAATGAAACTGGAGGACATTATATTAAGTGAAATAAGCCAGGCACAGAGAGATAAATGCCATGTAATCTCACTTATATGTGGAATCTAAAAAAGTCAAACACATAGAAGCAGAAAATAGAATAATGGTTATTAGGGGCAGGGGGAGGAGGGTAGAACTGGGGAGATGTTGGTCAAAGGATACAAAAATTAAGATAAGCAGGAAGAACAAGTTCAAGAGACCTATTGTACAACATGGTGACTACAGTTAATAACAATGTATTGCATACTTGAAAATTGCTAGGACAGTAGATTTTAAGTGTTCTCACCACAAAAGAAATGATAAATATGTGAGGTAACACATGTATTAATTAGCTTGAGTTAGCCATTTCACAGTGTATCCATATTTCAAAACATCAGGTTGTACACTACAAATATATACAATTTTTGTTTGTATATTTAAAATTTTTTAATATTTAAAAATTCAACTCAAAAATAAATTCTTGGCCAGGCACAGTGGCTCACACCTGTAATCTCAGCACTTTGGGAGGCCAAGGCAGTGGATCATGAGGTCAGGAGATCGAGACCATTCTGGCTAACATGGTGAAACCCCGTCTCTACTAAAAAAATACAAAAAAAAATTAGCCGGGCGTGGTGGCGGGCGCCTGTAGTCCCACCTACTCAGGAGGCTGAGGCAGGAGAATGGCGTGAACCCAGGAGGCAGAGCTTATAGTGAGCCGAGATCACGCCACTGTACTCCAGCCTGGTGACAGAGCAAGACTCTGTCTCAAAAAATAAAAAAAATTTAAAAAAAAATTTCAGTTGGCAGAACTTTGCACTACGCACCTTGTCATTCACTTTGCATGGAAAGAGAAGAGACTCAAAGTAAGAATGTACTGACTCATGGTCAAATGGCTTGGCTACAGGTCAGGGGGATGGGAGGAGAAAATTTGGAAGACTGGAGAAAAAGACATCTGAGAAAAGGGCATATGGGTGGACTTATGGGGATGTACAAAAAGTATGAAGATCTTTGTTTCACATGTTAACACCTACAAGAGGTATCTATCAACAACCAAGGAGAAAAGCGACTCAGCCAGATGATGTTAGCCAACCTCTTCCATTGGCCAGCTCAGTACTGGTACTGGCACAATTGGTGAATAAATATAGTGACAAGGATGGAGCCTATGCAGAGGCCCAAACAGCAGAAGTCTCCACTGACTAAGTCTTATCTAGCTACTGCTGCTTCTGAATGTCAAAGTTGTCATCAAGACAGAGCAACACTGAGGCCTCAAGATAGCATCATCCCTCAAGGACACCAAGTAGCCACCTGGTGGCAAGCTGAATGCACTGGATTCTTTCCATCACAGGAAGGGTAATGATTCATCTTGGCTGGAACTGATACTTATTCTGAGTATGGATTTATCTTTCCTACTTACATGGCCTCAACCAGCACCACTATCCAAGGGTTGACAGAATGTTTAATCCTCCAATATGGAATCCTATACATCCTTGCATTGTACTTTATAGCACCGTATAAAGGGAATGTACTTTGTAGCACTGTAGTTGCAGTGGTGGACACATGAAAATGCAATTCAGTGATCCTATTACAAATCATGAAATCACAACAACTAAAAGCTGTCAAACTGATGGAGTGATGGAACATCCTCCAGTAGCCCTTTGAAGCTGCAGGGATGGGATACAAGCATATATCCTAGATCAGTAACCATTGTATGGTCCCATGTCGCTAATAGAAGGAGGACCATGGATTGAAGAAAGAGTAGCACTATTTACCGTCACCCCGAGGGATTCACTTGGGAAATTTCTGCTTCTTATCTCTGCAATTCAATGCTGTTACACAACGGAAGTAGCCAGGAATGTGTTTGGCAGCCAAGGGATGTTTAAGTAGTACCTTACTAAATTTTGATTGCTCAATTTAAAAGGACAAGTCTAGTAGCCATGGCTACTACACCCCCCTCTCCTATCACCAGGTAAGTGACCTAGACCAGGGGAGGTGCTAGCTGAGGGTAAGAATGTAAACCTGATAGTACCTGTATAGTAGGAAAGGCAGATGATCAGTTTAGGGTGAAAGACCAGTTGAAGAGCCAAGGAGCTATTGTTCCCTCCATGAATGTTACTTTCACGTTTCCCCAGCAAAAGAAACCAACCAAAATCCTGGAGGAGCTATTCCTAGATGGAGAGAAGTTATATGAAGTCATGGATCCAAATGACACGAGGGATGGACAGAGTAGTGTCTTCTGTGGTTTGTAGTCCAGGCCTCCCTGCAGAATGGAGACCCTCATTCCCCAGCTTCCTTAGAGTGCTGTCTGTTGAGGGCACATGACTAAGTTCATGCCCTAGGAATTGCCCTCAGGCCAAAAGAAACTGTGTAGTAGAAGTCACATCCTTGGGGCAAGAACTTAATTTGAATTCATATTGATTGTTGTCAACAGAATTTTAAGTACTGTATGGTATGTGCGTGAAAGGAAAAGAACATTTGAAATGAGCTAATGTAGAGCGGATCTATTGGGGAACTATTGGTGAATAATGATGATGTGGTCAGTGAGGGTCACTGAAGTTCACAGGGTTATTTGAACAGAAAACAACTGGGAGAGGTGGATTTGACACTCAGATTGGGGGACTGCACAAATAATAAGGTATCTGGGCTTCAGTTTTCTCATCTAGAACATGAGGGACTAAATGACTGCCAAGTATCTTCCAGCTTCTATATTCTGTAATGCTTAAGTACTCTGCAGAATATTAAAACGACCAGCACTGGGAGATAGCCCATGGGCTTGAAAAGTGAGGAAAAACAGAAGCTGCCAGAAAGAGTTTGTTAAAACCTTAAAAACCTGCGCATGGCTGTTTATAACAGTTGTATTCATAACTGCCAAAACTTGGAAGCAACCAAGATATCCTTCAGTAGGTTAATGGCTACGCAAACTGTGATACATCCATACAAGGGAATATTATACAGCACTAAAAAGAAATCAGATATTAAGCTAAGAAAAGACATGGAGAAGACTTAAATGCATATTGCTAAGTAAAAGAAGCCAGCATGAGAAGGTAATATATTGTATGGTTCTAAGTGTATGACAATCTGGAAAAGGCAATACTATAATGTAGAAACATCAGTGGTTTTCAGCAATTTGAGGAAAGTAAGAGAGGGATACATAGGTGGAACACGGAGGATTTTTATGGTGATGAAACTATTCTGTATGATACTGGTGGATATCTGTCATTATACAGTTGTCAAAATTCACAGAACTTTACAACACAAAGAGTGAATGCTAATGTAAACTATGGACTTCAGTTATAGTAATGTATCAATATGTATCAATTGTAACCAATATACCACATTAATACATGGTGTTAATAATAGGGTAAATTGTGTACAGAGGTAGGGATTGGGTGGAGAGTGGGATAGGAAGGTAGTGTTACATGGGAACTCTGTGTACTTTCTGCTCATTGGTTTCTGTAAACCTAAAATTGCTCTAAAAAACAAAGTCTACTAATTTTGAGAAATTTGATGAAGAATGAATATTCATGTAGTACCAAGGTATAACCTCAGAGATCACTGGCTAATTACAGAGGAAATCATACCATTACGATATAGACATCTGGCAATCACCACCTTAATTTAGGAATGAAAATTAGCATCACTGGCAGTGGGACAACCAGACATAAACTTCGTAATGTGCCGCTATTGGAAGTATACGACATCACCTTTGAATAATTCTGGCCAAAAAAGTTTAACCTGAATGTAACCAAGTCTTTAAATTTAACTTCAAATTTCAGAAAATTGAGGGGATAGACAAACAAACTAAATGAAACCATGAACAGTCCCACAAATCCAGAATGTGAGATATTCTACGTGATAACTAGCATGGTTCCTTTAAAGTGTCAATACCGACTGGGCACGGTGGCTCGCACCTGTAATCCCAGCACTTTGGGAGGCTGAGGAGGGTGGATCATGAGGTCAGGAGATCGAGACCATCCTGGCTAACATGGTGAAACCCTGTCTCTAGTAAAAATACAAAAAATTATCCGGCCGTGGTGGCAGGCACCTGTAATCCCAGCTACTCAGGAGGGTGAGGCAAGAGTATCTCTTGAACCCAGGAGGCAGAGGTTGCAGTGAGCCAAGATCACGCCACTGCACTCCAGCCCGGTGACAAAGCAAGACTCCGTCTCAAAAAAAAAAAAAAAGTCTATGCCATTTAGCAAGGGATTAAGTATGGAGAAATGTGCTGGATTACAAAATAAGAGACAAAAACAAAATGTAGTGTCCAGTTCTCGATTGGATCCTGGCTTTTAAAAATTGCTATAATTGGGAAACAATTAAGAAAATGTGAATCATAGGGTGTAATTATGCAAACCTAGATGGTATATATACGTATATTTTTGAGACAGAGTCTCACTATGTCACCCAGCCTGGAGTGCTGGTGCGATCTCAGCTCACTGCAACCTCAGCCTCCCAGGTTCAAGCAATTCTCGTGCCTCAGCCTCCTGAGTAGCTGGGATTACAGGCACCTGCCACTGCACCAGGCTAATTATATTTTCAGTAGAGACGGGGTTTCACCATGTTGGCCAGGCTGGTCTCAAACTCCTGACCTCAGATGATCTGCCCACCTTGGCCTCCCAAAGCACTGGGATTACAGGCATGAACCACTACATCCAGCCCTATATATTTTCACTTATTTATTTTTTATAAGGAAAATTAAATGTTACAGCACCACTGCTGAGCATCAGTCATTTCCTCTACTTGATATTGGCAATGCCAATATCAAGGGCCATATACTGTTTATCAAGTTTCTATATATGTTCCAGTTTAATCTTATGAGACCACCACAGTGTAGATGGTCGACTAGTTGACTGAAATGTGTTACTTGGGGCATGACTGTTTATATTTGAAAATATTTGGGAGTTGAATAATTGTAAGGAATTACTGATAACTTGGTGTGAAAGGATAAGGGAATTGTGGTTATGCAAGAAAATGGCTTTAGTTTTTGAATATGCAGGCTTAAGTGTACAGAGGCAAATTAGCATGATGCCTATAATTTACTTTTAATTCAAATTGAAAAATTACATAAAGAAAACTTGACAAAATATTAACAATTAATTGGATTTAGGTGGTGGTTATGTGGGTGCCCATTTTTTCTACCTTTCTGTAGGCTCCAATGTTTCATAATTAAAAGGGAAAAAACGGGGCCACAAGAGAAGGTACAATTAAACATTAATGGATCCCTTCTCCCAAGCAGTTAGCGCTGAGAGTGTGGAGTGTGCTCTCCAGGATCAGCACATATGTATTATCTTGAAAAATACATTCCCCTGAAAAAAATCCCATGAAAAAAACTTAAAAAAAAAAAAAGGTTTCTGTTTTAACACCCGTCACCCCTGCAAAACACTTTACAAAAAAATCCTTGTCTTCACTACCAGAGACATTTTCCTTTTCTTCTTATATAAGATTACCCGGTGAGGCAGCCGAGAGTGACCCACCCGCCCCCTCGCAGCTCCGAAGCAGCTTCAAGAAGGAACAGGATCCCGAGGCCTGGATGCTGGACCCTACACCGCCACCCTCATCCCAGCCCGCTGCGGGCAGCAGTTCCTCGGCCGTGGAGTAGTTTTGGATTCCAGGTGATTTTGTCTCTCTGCGCTGGCCAAGGCTTCCGCCCCAGCCCTTACTCTCCTTTCACGGAAAGGTCGCAGCCTGTGGCCCTACCGGCAGACAGGTGCAGAGGTGAGCCCAGCGTCCCAGCCATCCTCTGTCCTCGCACCGCACGTGACCAGGCCTGCTGGCCAGTCTTCTCTATCCCGGGCTACAGGAACCACATCACCGGCGCTCCTTGGGAAACGCAGGATGTGGAATGTGCTTAAGACCCCATGAATTTTGATGTTATAAAAGACTAGCCAATACACACTAAGTGGTCTCGGTGTGATCCATCACTCCGCAAAAATGGAGTGGGCAACATGTTCATTAAAAAAATTGGACAAATCTATTGATTATAAAGCATTGCATGATACATCTGCTTCTGGTAACATCTTTTTGTTGCAGAAAAAACCAGGTTCTTGTCACACCACCAGGAAAAGGCACGCAAACACTTGAAGGGTGAGGGGAAATGGAGTTTATTGGGTGGAAAGGAAAAAGGAAAAATAACTCTCAGCAAAGAGAGAAAGAGTCCTGCTAGCGGGTTTCCCGCCTCATAGATTAAATCCTAGGTCACTACATGGGAACAGGCCAGACTCCTCTCCACTGCACACTGCACAAACTTCCCGAGGCTCCACCCCGTAATCCCAGTGCGCAGGTGGGCATTATTCAGAATCAGTGAGGAAAGGGCGGCTCCAACCAGGACCTGCAGTCCAGTTTATCAGCCTTCAGGCTGTTTTAGTCTTGAAGGTGGGGTTTTACCAGGGGACCCTTGGCTGCCTCCTGTCTCTATCACTTTCACATTAGGTGCTCTGTGGTGAAAACGGTTTCAAAGGTGATGGCATTGTACATTTTGAGACACAGAAGCAGCTGAAAGATCTATTCAAAAATGAAATGGATGCTTCTAAATGATAGCAAAGTCTGTTGGATTAAGTCTTGTAAACAATGAGAAGCAGAACTCAGAGCTAAAAAGTTCACCAATGTTTACAGGAAGATTTTTGGAGAAGACATGGATGGTAGGTGCCTTAAAGATCCTTTGGCAAGTTGGGATCTGTCTTAAGTGTGATAGTAGTGGTTAATGAAAGTGGAAAACCCAGAGGTTTTGGATTTGTCAGCTTTGAAAGGCATAAAGATGCGCAGATGAGATGAACAAAAGAAGCTCAATGGAAAGTAAATTGATGTTGGTCAAGCTCAGAAAGAAGTAGAATGGCAGATGGAACTTGTGTGCAAATTTGAAAAGATCAAGCAGTATAGGATCATCAGATAACAAAGTGTTAACATTTATGCAAAAAATCTTGATGGTATTGATGAATGTCTCTGGAAAGAACTTTCTCCACTTGGTACAATCACCAATGCAAAGGTTATGAAGGATGGTTGTCATAACAAAGGGTTTGATTTGTGTATGTTTCTCCTCTCCAGAGGAAGCAACTAAAGCACTTTCAGAAATGAATGGTAGAATTGTGGGCACTGAGCCATTGTATATATATAGTGTTAACTCCATGGGAAGAAAAGCAATGAAGAGCACCAGGCTCAGCTCATTAACCAGTACAGTATGTGCAAAGAATGGCAAGTGTAAAAACTATGCTCAACCTGGGAATCAGTCCCTATCAGCCAGCACCTTCTTCAATTGACTTCATGGCAGTTATCCCACAGAGTGAGAGCCATGCTGCAAAGTATTCTCCTAGCCAAACTGCTCAACTAAGATCAAATCCTCCCTAAATTGCTCAGGGTGCCAGACCTCATCCATTGAAAAATATGTCTAAGCCACTCCTAGCTCACTACATTTAGTAGTAAGAGAACAGCTTCTTCACAGCTTCCACAAATCATGTCAACACAGCTGTTGTAACACATCGACACAGAAAATAGGAGCACATCCTGCAGTTGCCGCTATGGCTACTACAGATACTCCTGCTGTTTGTACCATTTCACAGTATAAATATGCTATGGAAGCTCACAATCCTCAATGGCATTTTCATGCACAGCCCCAGATTACCATGCAGCAGCCTGCTGTTCATGTAGAAGGTCAAGAACCTTTGACTTCCATGATGGCATCTGCTCCTCCTCAAAAGCAAAAGGAAATGAGTGAATGGCTGTTTCCTCTTCTTCAAGCCATGCCCTAGTCGTGCTGGTAAAATCATTGGCAAGTTGTTGCAGATTGGTAATTTAGAACTCCTTCATATGCTTGAATCTCCAGAGCCTCTCTATACTAAGGTTGACAAAGGTATAGCTGTACTACAAGACCACCAAGCTAAAGAGGCTGCCCAGAAAGCAGTTAATGGTGCCACTGGTGTTCCAATTGTTTAAAACTGATCAGGGACCACAGAAAGAAACTTGAGCATCACTGAAGAAAAATATCTCAATATCAAAAACCTTAAATACTATGGAAAAAATTTGTAAAGTATAAAATAAATTTAAAAAGGAAACTTTGAACTTTACATACCAAGCAAATGTCAGATCTAACAAATGCAATGATAGTCCTAGATTACTTATTGATTTGAAAAGAAAAAATCCTCCCAAAATAATAAAATATAAAAACACTGTAATGCTTTTCAGACTCTGTGATAAATAATTTTCAGCAAAGTATAAAAATTTAAAGCATTCCTTTAATTTTGTAATTCATTAGTGTGGAATAGCTAAGAATGTCACTTCTGTTTTAAGTAACAGAATTGATAACTGAGCAAGGAAAGGTAATTTGGATTATAAAATTTTGCTTTAATAAAAATTCCTTAAACAGTGAAAAAAATAGGCAAAGATACAAAAAAAATTTATAAGAAGCAACAATCTTGTATTTATTTGTTATTTTATTTTATTTTATTTTATTTTATTTTTTTGAGATGGAGTTTCGCTCTGTCACCCAGGCTGGAGTGCAGTGGTGTGATCTTGGCTCACTGCAACCTCTGCCTCCCAGGTTCAAGTGATTCTCCTGCCTCAGCCTCCCGAGTAGCCGGGACTACAGGCACCTGCCACCATGCCTGTCTAGTTTTTTGTATTTTTAGTCGAGACAGGTTTTCACCATGTTAGCCAGGATGGTCTCCTTCTCCTGACCTTCTGATCCACCCTCCTTGGCTTCCCAAAGTACTGGGATGGTGTGAGCCACTGTGCTCAGCCTTATTTGTTTAAATACTATAAACACTAATATCATACACATGGTTAACTGGTTGTAATTTTTAAATTATATTAATAAATTTTTATAAAAACTTTTTATAAATAAAAACTTATAATTTCAAATAAATAACAACATCTGCCACACTACCTTAAAATGGCGACTATTTCAGTATAATAAACATATATCACAGACACTTAGAGAAAGTTCAATAAATAAAGAATAAAAAGAATAGGTACAACAATTTTCCTCCTAATCAAAAACACAATTCCTCATTTTGAAAATTATTTCTTATCTCTCTTTTATTAAAATAAACTTTCTACTTTGAAATCTAATACTCTTGTGAATGTAAAATACTATCTTGTAAATAAATATATATATATATATATATATACATATATTTTATTTTTTTTTTTTTTGAGGCAGAGTCTTGCTCTGTCTCCCAGGCTGGAGTGCAGTGGTGTGATCTCAGCTCACTGCAACTTCTGCCTCCTGGGTTCAAGCAATTCTCCTGCCTCAGCCTTCTGAGTAGCTGGGATTACAGGTGCGTGCCACCACACCTGACAATTTTTGTATTTTTAGTAGAGACGGGGTTTCACTATGTTGGTCAGGTTGGTCTCGAACTCCTGACCTCGTGATCTGCACGCATTGGCCTCTCAAAGTGCTGGGATTACAGGCATGAGCCACAACAACCTGCCTATATTTTTATTTTTTTATAAGTGACAATGAGATGTCCTCATGATTTAAATAGTAGTCAAAACACTGGCACAGTTTAAATTTTTAGAATTTGAGTACTAGAATTACAATATTTGAAAATGGAGTCTGTACTTTGTTGTAAAACTATAAAGAGAAAATGTCACTAAAACAGGAGCTATTTTATCTTTTCCCAGAGTTATTCTCCCAGAGTGTATTTTCTAAGAGTTTTTTCCCAGATGGTTTTAGAACGTTTGGCAGTTTCGGTGATATATTCTGTAAAAGCCCTTAGTCTTAATAGGAATAACACATAGTTTTGATTGCCTTAAATTTTAATTGCTTCACTTGGCAAATTTATGTGTAAATTTCATATTCTGTGGTATTTTAATATCTTGCTTGTGGAGAAGAGGAAAAAGAGGAATGAGAGTAATATTCAGTCCTTGCATTGAGCTTTTGCCAAAGAAGTCTAAACAATTTCTAAAATGCCATTCAATAAGGCCATTTTAGAAGTGTTTATATGACTCTTATAACTTTAAAATAAAGAGTCTTGAAGTTAATTAAAACTCACTTTGCTTGTGATGGGTTCTACATAAACATGGCAGATTTAATCAGCCAGAATTAAAAAGTAATTCTATATTACTAAGGAGAAGAAACTGCCACATGACAGTAGTCTCCAAATCTTTCATTTTTGGAGTCTGCCTTTTATGCCTAGATTTTAAAATACTAATTGAAAAAAATATAGTTTACTTCCATTTGTGATTTAATTTTATTTCTAGAAATAAAAATATAGATAGTGTTTCATCTAAAAACTGCTAAACCAGACTTTCATTTTAAGGGCATGGCAGAAATAAGGAAAGACTAACTTGGTTCTATTACTTAACATATTATTTATTCAGGTAGTCACCAAGACCAGAATTTAAAATCTATTCAGTTAACCCATTTAAAGTTGATGTGTTTTACTCCTTTTTTTTTTCTTTTTGTAGTGATCTTTTTAACTGAATTACTGGACATCATGGGGAGTTCTACTCCTCCTATATGGAAACTTAGGCTATCTTACCAAGTTCAATATTCAAAGTTTTTCTTTCTGCCATTAAGTTTGTTTAATTTTATATTAAGCTCAGTTTGTATTATGATATCAAATTCAGCCTGAGGGATTACTTTAAACTTTCCTAGGGTATTTGCAGATTTAATTTGTTCTTACAGTATGTAAATACCAAGAGAGCATTCCATTTAATATTATTTTTATTAAATTAACTTTGGAGTAAAAAGTCCAAGAAAAGCCCTGTACTGAAATCACATGTTTACTAAATCCTGGATTTTCTGTACAGTCCCTACATATTTCTACTTTAAAATTCTTCTGTCTTGTGAAATAATTCATTAAAAGCAGCAGGCAGATGATGACAGGTAAACTTTTTAATGATGTTCTAATGTTGACAATTGCAGTTTTATTTTGCTTGGATCATAATGGCGTGTAAGCAGTTTAGGCCCCAGAATGCCCATAAGTAGAGCTCCATTTGGAGCTGTGATCAAGATGGCTAAAAATGCTACTGTCATCACATCCTTCACATATGGTTCCAAGTGGGGTGCGGAGACTCTTGCTGTTTCTAGAGCCAGAGGACCTAACACAGCCTACATTTAGGGGTAAAAATGGGGCATAAAGAAAAATATTAAACTGAGTTAATATATAATGTAAATGGCTCTGTCAAAATAAACAAAATCTAGTACTAGACTATTAGAAAAAAAAGTACTCAGTAATTTTCATAAGTTACTCATCAGTTCCATGTTCTTCCTAGCAAATATATGTGGAGGAAGAGTACAATAGTGACAAATCAGCATGCAAACATTTTTGGGCTGATTTTGCACTCTTGTCCTCTCAGTGTTCCTCTATTCAAATATCTCTTTTGAGTGTTGCCCTCATAACACCAGGAGTTCTAACGAAACTGGTTTTGCTTAGTTGCCTTTATCGTGTACCAGTGGTTTTTGACTACAAGAAGATAAAATAAAATATTAAGTTTTCTTATGGTTCTCTAGGATTTGTTGCCCTTCTTATCATTGTTCTCCTTATTCAGGGGGCACTGGGTTATAGCAGAACTGACAGCAGGCTTGGAATTTAGCAAACTGAGTTTGAATTCTATTTTTGCTGCAACCAAGCTAGTGACCTTGTACAAATGACTCACACTCTCTAACCTTCTACTTACTTCCGTGTAAAACGAAGAACAAAATACTTATGTTACTGGACGGTTGTGAAAATTAAATATGAGAATGTGAAGAATACCTGGCACAGAGTAGATATTCAGATAGTAGTAAGTTTCTTTCTCCTTCACTCCTCATCCCCTGCCAGGTCAGAGAATGAGTTCCTTTGAAGTTTTTGTTTTAGAATGACTACTGGGTCACAAGTTTTTTCCCTAGTTACCTTCTACCACATTATTTTTAATAACATAAAGCAAATTTCTTGCTAACTCTCTTTCCTTGTGTTTAATAACTAGGCATGAAATTGCCTTAAAATTTGGGGGAATTAAATACCAATATGTAACATATTTTCTATGGAGTTGCAAAGTGACAACATAATGGTAGAAACATTACCTCTGATATGGAAAATTATGGCAAAAGAAGTCCTCAATTTAAGATCAATTTCTATATCCTAAATCAATAATTTAAAATGGTATTATTTTTATATCATAACTTTTAATGTACTGAACATGATCCAGTGTGCTGGAGGATGCTAGGGTGAAAAAAAAAAATCATGCAGAAAACCACCTTGAAAGAATCTTACAGTTTAGAAGAGGATTTGAACATAAAAGAACTGCCAACAGAAAAAAACAAAAACAAAAACCAAACCCATTGATTTTTAAGAGATGATGACGATAATGGTGAAACTAGAAATAATATTTTTATAGTTATATGGCATTCATCATATGTCAGGTATCATTCTTAAAGCTTTCCATTTATCAATTCATTTAATTCTTATGACAACCTTATTATGTGAGAACTTTTATTAGATGATAAATGATTTCCTCCTAGTGACTGAGATTTAATATTATTTCTTTAAAAAAATCCAATTGCCAAGCTGATCTTACATTTGTAAACTAAATTATTTATTTACTCTCCTAGTAGCTTCTATTTTTCCAGTCTAATTTTTATCAGTAACTCGAAACTAAGGAACAAGAGAAAGCTGAACCTTAGCCAATTTTATTTTAGCAGCAGAGAACGGTGGAAGAGGATAAAGGTGAAAATAATTTAAAATTGAAATTTAAATATTTGTTGATCGTATTTACTTGTGACATTATTGTTATCTATTATCGCTGTTGTGACTCTACTTGTATAAATAATTAATTTTTTATGTCTTGCCAGTTCCTGGAACCAGCTTGATATTCTTTGTGTAGAAGCTAGCCTGGAGCCAGCAGACATGAATAGGCAGAAGCAGAATAATACTGCAGGACTCGAGTGAGTGGTCTCTTTCCTCATACCTGCTTTTCTTTTTTCCCTGCTTTATGAAAATTATGAAATAATGAAACAAAATTGCAAGAGTATTGTTGGAAGGAGAGAGAACAGATAAGCCTTTTGTAGATTTATTATTCCCTACAGTAGATATTAAAAATAAAAAGTTATTATTTATATTACTTGAAGGTAAGATAAAATAACAACATTGTTTGTTAACTGAGCACCACCATATGCCAGAGAGAGTGCTAAGCACTTTAAGTGGATTATCTCATTGAATCCTGACAACACTGCTAAGAAACAGATACAGTCATAGACTTCATTGTAAGATGAGAACACTGAAGGACTGAGAGACTAGAAAATAATTTTCCTGAGGTTATAGGCAAGTAACATGGTATTCAAAACAGGTAGTCTGGCCCTAAGAACCTGCTTTTCTAACATGATAATAGGGGTTTTTTTGCATGAAAATTTAGGAGCTTCTGTTTTGGAATAACAACTAAGAAAAGAGCCACAGGAAATTAAGGTATATTATGCTGCCAAGTTAAACAGTCTAACAAGAAGTAGCAATATATTTTAGTAGGAGGAGAATATCCTTGAATAACAGGGCAAAATTACAAGGTTTCCCTTTCCGTTCATTCATCCTTGCAGGCATGCAATACGTATTTGCCTCTTGCATGTCAGGCACTGTGTTAAGTGCCAGGGAGAAATAATGAAAAACAACTGCAACAACCAGACACTGTCCCTGTCCTTACATAGCCTATCAAGGGGGCGGGGGCAGGGATTTAGCCATTAACCAAATAGTATACAAATAAATGTGTAATAAAAAAATATATGTGCATTTGTGTGATGGAGTGAGTGGCAAGGTAGGAAAAGTATTTTTTAAAAAATCAATGTGTCTCTATTTTACTTTACTTTTTTTTGCGACAGGATCTCACTTTGTCACCCAAGCTGGAGTGAAGTGGCATGACCTCAGCTCACTGCAGCCTCAACCTCCCGAGTTCAAGAAATCCTCCTGCCTCAGCCCCCAAGTAGCTGTGACTACAGGTGCGTGCCACCACACCTGACTAATTTTTTTGTATTTCTTGTAGAGACAGGGGTTTTACCATGTTGCCCAGGCTGGTCTTGAACTCCTGAGCTCAAGTGATCTGTCTGCCTCAGCCTCCCGAAGTGCTAGGATTACAGGCATGAGCCACCATGCCTGGCCTGTGTCTCTACTTTTTAAAATCATAACATTTAGCTTTGTTATATTCAGCAAAATATAAAAACTCCAATTTTCAGATATATTCTTATTATATATTTTAGGAAAATAAAAAACATATTTTCATAAACTTAGGAAGTACTTATTGAAAGAATGCTTTTTGATTTCAAAATAATTGCTTTTAAAACTGAGATTTCAAAAGGTTACATTGGCTAGGCCCAGTGGGTTATGCTTGTAATCCCAGAACTTTAGGAGGCTGAGGCAGGAAGATCACTTGAACCTAGGAGTTCAAGATCAGCCTGGGCAACATAGCAAGACCTCCTCTTTACAAAAAAATCAGAAAGAAAAGGCCAGGCGCAGTAGCTCATGCCTGTAATCCCAGCACTTTGGGAGGCTGAGACAGGTGGATCACTTGAGGTCAGGAGTTTGAGACTAGCCTGGCCAACATGGTGAGACCCCATATCTACTAAAAATACAAAAATTAGCTGGGCGTGGTGGTGTGCACCTGTAATCCCAGCTACTGAGGAGGCTGAGGCAGGAGAATCGCTTGAACCTGGGAGGTGGAGGTTGCATTGAGCTGAGATCATGCCACTGCACTCCAGCCTGGACAACAGAGTAAGACTGTCTCAAAAAAAAAAAATCTGAAAAAAAGCAGTTGGGTGTGGTGGCAGGTGACTGTGATCCTAGCTACTCAGGAGGCTGATGTGAGAGGATTGTTTGAGCCCAGGAGGTTGAGGCTGCAGTGAGCCGTGATCATGCCACTGCACTCCAGTTTGGGTGACAGAGTGAGACCTGGTCTCAAAATGAAAATAAAAATAAAAATAGAAAAAGGTTACATTGAGTTTCTTTGTTTGTTTTTGTTTATTTATTTATTTATTTATTTGAGATTGAGTCTTGCTCTGTTGCCAGACTGGAGTACAGTTGTGCCATCTCAACTTACTGCAACCTCTGCCTCCTGGGTTCAAGTGATTCTCCCATCTCAGCCTCCTGAGTAGCTGGGACTGGTTACGTTAATTTTAATGAATAGTTATGATCAATCAAACATTTAAAAAGTAAGGATAATAACTCATATTTTGTGATTGGAGTAACATTTTTCATTTTAAATTTTAAAAGCATCAAAACGAAAGCATTAAGCAATAGGCTTAATATGTTCTTACCTGTACTGTAGCTTTGGGCATCCATGCTAAAGCAATAAATATTTTCTCCTTAAAACTAAAACCAGCAAAGCACATCAATAGATATGTGGTTAAAATTCGAACACATAATGCCAAACTCAGAGTAGCAACAGATATGCCTACAACAGATGAAAACAAACATAAATAACAAAATATTTGTGAAGAAGTGTTCTTTATGCCCAGGAATATGATTTCTAAAACTTTTGAAAGCATTTTAAGGCTATTGTCTCTTCATGTGTTTAATTTTTACATAAAACAATGATAATAAAAAATGAATATGATGGAGGATTCTCTGTAAAGTGCAAGACAGTATCTGATGGTGGAGGTACCATGAAAAATAAGACAGATGACATTTATACAATTCTGAACTAATAGACTTTTTTTGAATATTTTTATTATTATTAATAATAATTTACTTTTTGAGAAGGATTCTTGCTCTGTCGCCCAGGCTGGAGTGCAGTGGTACAATCTCAGCTCACTGCAACTTCCGACTCCCGGGTTCACGTGATTCTCCTGCCTCAGCCTCCTGAGTAGCTGGGATTACAGGCGTGCACTACCACACCTGGCTAATTTTTGTATTTCTAGGAGAGATGGGGTTCCCCATGTTAGCCAGGCAGGTCTTGAACTCCTAACTTCAAGAAATCTGCCCGCTTCAGCCTCCCAAAGTGCTAAGATTACAGGCATGAGCCACCACACCCAGCCAATAGTTTTAAATGAAAGTACTCAAAAAGTGCTGATCGTATCAAATATATTCCCTCAGGAAAGAAATCTTATATTTATTTCCTTAGATAACTCAGGGAAGATATTCAGGGCTGTCCTTGGTTGGTTTAAAAAAAAAAGAGCACACAGTGTAAAGGGAGAGCAATATGAAAATATGATACTGTATCAACATGTGTTTCTGAAGAAGGTCCTTGTAGCCATTCAAAGATATATTGTAAATAAAAATAAATGTATTTATAATTTTCTTAAATATTTTTGAATTTCATATTTTTTGTGCTGTAATTATTCTTACCAAAAATATTTGATTCAAGTGATGAAACAGATACTTCTGCTCCAACTAAACCAAAAAGAAGTGGTTGAAAAATATCCCATACATTTGTAATAATCTTTTGGACTTTCATCTATAGAAAAGAGAAATACATTTATAATTATTTTGGCACATAAATATATTTCAGAAAGTTAAAGTCTCCCTCACCATTTTTTTTTTTTTCACTTTTTAAGTATTTTAGAGATGGGGTCTTGCTCTGTTGCCCAGGCTGGAGTGTAGTGGCATAATCATAGCTCACTGTAGCCTTGAACTCCTGGGCTCAAGTGATCCTCTCACAGTCTCCCAAGTAGAACTACAGTTGTGTACCACCATGCTGGGCTAATTTTTAAATTGTTTATAGAGACGGGGTCTCGCTATATTGCCCAGGATGGTCTAGAACTCCTGTCTTCAAGTGGTCTCTGGCTGTGGCCTCCCAAAGCACTGGCATTATAGACATGAGCCACCATGCCTGGCCTAAAGTCACTTAGCTTTTAATAAATTTAAGACGCTTTATTTTAATAAAAATGTTAAACTTAAATAATAAAAACTGAGCACTTCAATAGTTTTACTCAAACAGGTAGAATTTGATTAAAAGAGACTCACAAAGCAATAAAATAATACTATTTGGCCATTTTGTCACAGAATAAGTGATGTCCTTAGGGTTCTAGCCATGTTTCGTATGAGTTCCAGATTTTGTCTCTAAGTTAACTGAACAGAGATAGAACTACATCATGCCTGATGAGAACATACCGAGTTCATGCAAACATTTGGGTTCTCAGAAGGGGGTTGGGAAGCCTTCCACTAACAACCATCCTGGAACTCAATCCCATTAAAGTGAATCCTGATATATATAGCATATACTACTAGGAAAAACAATTTGGAAGTCTGTAAGGCCTGCTTCCAAAGAACCCATGTTGAATACTTTAAAGTTACTTTTTCCTTAAAACAAAACCAAAATATATATTAGATTCTCATTTAGCTGCCTACCCAGCTTCCCTTTCTGGAAACGAATGCCTCCCAGTGCTACTTCCCCAGTTAAAAGGTTACAGGAAAGGCCCCTATTGGCCTACATTACTCTGGCTCTTCTCCAGGAATTTGGATGAAGAGATTAAACCCAGTCTCAGTCTGGGTTTAATTTTTTTTTAAACAGAAGATACATAAGAACTTTGATGTCTCTTCCTTGAGGCATAAACTATCTTCATAACTATTTCCCTTATGACTGTGTTTTCTGATCCCCACTTATTATAGTTTAAAAAAAGAAAAACAAAGAAAAACGATGTTACTACTCTTTACAGCATAATTATCCTATTTGTTACTTTTAATCTTTAAAACTTGTTTTAGTTCTGTTTCTTTTACCATTTAAAAAAATTCTAGCAGTTTTAATTTTATTTATTGATTTGCATTTCATTCATTTCATTTCTTTTTTAATTATGATTATATAAGAATACTAAGCAAAATGCCACTATGATTTTTGATTAGGGAACTTCTCAAGCTGATTCTAAAATTTATCTAAGAAAGAATATGTGTAGGAACAGCCAAAAAATACTTTAAAAAGAAGAATAATCTATATTAGATTTTGACACATAAAACTGCAGTGATTTAAAACAGTGGTATTGGCATAGAAATAGAGAAGTAGGATTAAATAGACTTCAGAGTTAATATATATGGGAGAATTTAGTTCATGTTAAAAAACTGAATTATTAATGAATTGGTCAATAAATAAACAATTTGGCAAAAAATGACTGTCTAGTTTATGTGCATATATCTGTATGTACATATTCATCACATGCAAGTATATATGTGTGTCTGAATATGTATATATATTATGTGTGTGTATATATACATATATACACACACACATCAGGCATGATGTAGTACTATCTCTGTTCAGTTAACTTACAAACTGTATGTGTGTATGTGTATATATATATATATAGTTTGTAAGATACACATATGTATATATGTATAACCTTACCTTACAGCATTCACAAAGATAAATTCCAGATAGATTAAAAGACTAAATGAAAAAACAAATTAAACAAACAAAAACTACCAAAATATTAAATGATAATACACAAAATAGTATATCTTTGTAATGTTTATATGTTATAATCTTCAGTGAGAAAGTCCTTCTTAAATGAGATGCAGAATCCAAAACCAAAAAAGGAAAACCCAATAGGTTTGGTCATAGGAAATTTTACTTTCATACACCAGACACCATAAACAAAGTTGAAGATAAGCAAAAATTATATCAATATATACATAACAAAGGATCAGTAGCCCTAACACTAAGAGAAACTATAAATTAGAAACAAAAAAATAAATAACCCAATAAAAATGGTCAAAGAAGATCATAGGTATTTTAAAAAGAATATATGAAGAGAAGCTGACTATACTACCAATCAGAGAAATGTAAATAAAGAATAACAACATCACATAATTGTAAGAAACTATAAGAATTGGATGGTGAGGTCATTTAATAGTAAAAAGAATAGAACTAGTGATAATATCAAGTGCTGTTGATGAGTTAAGGTATTAGATATTTTTGTGCACTGTTGGCAGAGTGTAAATAACCAAAATTTTTGGAGGGATAATTTAGCAGTGTCCATCAAAATAAAACACAGATCATTTCCAGCCAGGTGTGGTAGCTCATGCTTGTAATCCTAGCACTTTGCAATGTCAAGTTGGGAGGATCCCTTGAGCTCAGGATTTTGAGACCAGCCTGGGCAACACAGACAGAGACTCTGTCTCAAAAAAAAAAAAAAAAAATCATGTCTGGGACTCTATTCCTACAGATGTACCTGTAATCCCAACACTTTGGGAGGCCGAGGCAGGAGTATCACCTGAGGTCAGGAGGTCAAGACCTGCCTGGCCAACATGGTGAAACCCCGTCTCTACTAAAAATACAAAAATTTGCTGGGCCTGGTGGTGCGCGCCTGTAATCCCAGCTACTAGGGAGGCTGAAATAGAAGAATCACTTGAATCCAGGAGGTGGAGGTTGCAGTGAGCCAAGATTATGCTACTGCACTCCAGCCTGGGTGACAAGAGTGAAACTGTGTCTCAAAAAAAAAAAAAAAAGACATGAACAACACTGTTTATGACAGCACTGTTTGTAAATAACAAAAAGTGGAAACGATCTTAATGTCTATAAATAGAATACTGGTTACTTAAAAAAATGTAAGGGGGTTAGATATTTGACAGTGGTAGGGAATAAAGAAATCTTTTATGTTTTATTCTATATGTTTTATGCTTTTACAAGCATTTCTATTTTTATTATTTATTTGTTTGTTTATTTTTTTGTGTGTGTGTGTGATGGAGTTTTGCACTTGTTGCCCAGGCTGGAGTGCAATGGCATGATCTCGACTCACTGCAGCCTCCACCTCCTGGGTTCAAGCAATGCTCCTGCCTCAGCCTCCTGAGTAGCTGGAATTACAGGTGCCCACCACCAAGCCACCATGCCCAGCTAATTTTTGTATTTTTAGTAGAGATGGAGTTTCAACATGTTGGCCACGCTGGTCTCAAACTCCTGACCCCAGGTGATCTGTCCACCTCGACCTCCCAAAGTCCTGGGATTACAGGCATGAGCCACCGTGCCTGGCCTTTTACAAACATTCTTCATGGATTAATTGTATAATTAAAATTTCAATGAATAAAATAATTAGATTGATATAAGTAATATAATAATATTATATAAAACTTGGGAAAAAGAGAAGCCTGATGTGATTAACTGAACTTCTGATTCCATATTAGTATATTTCTACCTGCTTTTCCTAAATATTTTATTTCCTCAATTGATTCATACACTTTCTTGAGGATAGCAAACCTTTTGGAATATTTTCCAACCAGAATGAGGGGATTTCCTAAATATATGCAAAAAAATTCAGTTGTCTTAGCTTTTAAAATATAGCATATTAAAAATATTCACCTTTTCTTGGGACCATTTTGTCCCTGCAATGAAACTCAACACTAGTGTGCATAATCCTCCAGATCCATGTAAACCAATACGTTGGCTGCCTAAGACAGCAGAAACACACGTAGTCAAAACAAGGAATCCTCTCTTCAATGTAAGTTTTTTCTAGAATTAGATAGATATTTAGAAATTAGTTTATATTAAATATATAAGATTTGACATTATCTATTATATATGTTTGACCCTTTGATATTATGTCTTTAAATGTTATATTAAATGTCTAAAATTTCGATTTTCTTTCTCACCATACATTTTAGCAGACTTACTACCAAGTAACAAAATTTCCGACTAGTAACGTTTCATCTTCTGCCACATCTCTGATACTAGTATCAGTAAAATGGTTAAAGTATTACTTTAAGTGAAGAAGAAAAGAGACCCATAAAATCTCCAGTTTCATATAACATACCCAATGAATTCTTAAAAAATATTTGAATATCTCTTTGGTCAATATGTTACAGCTAAATTTGGATGGAAATTACAGAAATACAAAAGTAATGGCATGTTTTCCTTTAAGGCAGGAAATGGCTAAGTTTGAGTGTTGCCTTTGTCAAAGGATAGCAGGAGTGAATTTCAGTCAGAAAATATGAAGAAATAAATGGGAACCTATCTCCCCCTAAAATGTTTAAGGGAAAATTTGGGGGAAATTATCAAACATCAATAGGCAATTTAGTAGAGAAAGGGAAAGTATAATTCAGAGGGATACTCTGCATTAAGTATATTTTTTGACATTCCTTATTTGCCAAATCAGGAAGCAGAGACTTTAATCAAAGCCATTGACCTGTATCAATCACTGCTGTGCTCAGTTTTAAATACAGAGTAGGCATTGGAGGCTAGTTTTAGAAAAATAGGGTTAAGTATTAAATTTCATGGATCTTACCAAAGTTTAATATTTTGAAAAAAATGTCTAATACTATACTTCTATAAAATAGATTTTGTGTTCACCTGGTCTTCACTTGGAAAATATCGAACAAAAAAATCCCAAAACAATTCCTGCCAGCAGACTAATACATACGTTCCTTATAGAGGCTATGGCGTTATTAAGCATACCACCTGTAGGGGCACACAATAAAAAAAAAAATTCACAAAGAAACATTTTCACATACACTACACATCAGAAAAACAAATCTAGGTGGTTCATGAAGAAAAGTAAGCATTTTATAGAACAAATATATGCAAATGGTCTTTTTATAATGACATGTATGAAAACATGTAGATCTATTTAGTACATTAAAAATATGCTCTCAAATAATTTAATATATACACACAACTCAGAAATGTCCATTATATAAATAGGCAAGAAAACAAAGACTTAACAAGCACAAGATGCTCCCCTTACATTAGCCAATTTAAAAGACAGAGTGAGGTAGTCCGGGTGCAGTGGCTCATGTCTGTAATCCCAGCGCTTTGGGAGGCTGAGGAGGGTGGATTACTTGAGGTCAGGAGTTGAAGACCAGCCTGGCCAACATAATGAAACCCCATCTCTACTAAAAATACAAAAATTAGGTGGGCCTGGTGGCACACAACTGTGGTCCCAGGTACTCAGGAGGCTGAGGGAGGAGAATCACTTGAACCTGGGAGGCAGAGGTTGCGTGAGCTGAGATCGTGCCACCACACTCCAGCCTGGGTGAAAGATGAAGGCTACACCTCCAAAAGAAAAAAAAAAAAAGACCAAGTGAGGTACAAGAATGGAGAGAGACCGAAACACTTGTGGCACTTAGCATATGGCTGGTAAGGGCTATATTAACAATTCTTCTTTGATGTACTATATGAAAAAGAAACAAATGATTTTAACATGAAAAGAACAATGTAATAACAACATGAAAAATTTTGTTCCAGGGTCAGTCCTAGAAACACTCAAGGGTCATTTAAGATTTCAGTGTATTTAAGTTTCTGCTTTTGGTGAAGAAAAAAGGAAAAAAAATACAAAAGATTCCAGTATATTTTATATTAATTAATATTAATATATCCATACTTGTAGTTCATTGTAATAAGTAAAAAGCAAAAAACAAAAAAACAGAATGAGTCACAAAAATAGTTCAGTTAAGCTCTGGGTAGTGGATTCAATATAGTACGTAAGTATATTTTTAGATATATTTTCTACTAAATATAACAGGCAGCGCATGGTGGGCTCACACCTTTAATCCCAGCACTTTGGGAGGCCAAGGCAGAAGGATTGCTTGAGCCCAAGAGTTGAGACCAACTTGGGCAACAGAGTGAAACCCCATCTTCACAACAAAATAAGAAATTAGCCCGGTATGTGGTGTGTGCCTATAGTCCAAGTACTCAGTAGCCTGAGGGAGGAGGTCCCTTGAGCTCAGGAGTTCGAGGCTGCACTCTAGCCTGGCTGACAGAGTAAGATCCTGTCTCAAGAAAATAAAATATAATAAAAATAAAAAATAATATAAACAGAGTGATGTCAGCCAGGTGGTGGAATGGGAAGCTCCAAACCTTGATTCTCCATAAAGATACCAACTGAAAAACTACATATGGTCTAAAAGCCTTTATGGAGTTCCATAAACCATTAAGAAGTTGTAGTAGCACAGACAAGTGCAAAGCCAAGAATAGTGGCATTGAACAAATAAGAAAAGCTGTTGCATTATACTCATGATACCCCTTCCCCAAGCTCGAACAGGTTGGTTTGGCTGGGAAGCACTGAACTTGCAGCTTCTCCGTTAGCAGGGAAAGAGAAGACTGGAATGGAATAGTTTTATGAGGTTACCTGAAGCTCTCTCTCTCTCTAACTTGACGCCCAACTGGCATACTTTGGATGCATGGGAGCCACTGGGAATAAAGGAGAGGTCAGAGATGATGCAGCACCAGGGAACCTGCAGTACCACAGACAGATACCAGAGGGAGCAACAGCTCCAGAAAAAGAAACTGGCAAACCTCTACTTGGGATGTTGCAATGTATAAACCCAAAGAAGATGCATTCCCAGAAAAAGTTTGAGAGGCTGCTGGAACCTATAGCCATGCTGATTCAGGTATGAAGGTCTTCCATATGAAGCCAGCTGAGAAAAACTGGGATAAGTGGCAGTTTTTTCAAACACCCAAATCTGGGCAAAAATAAATAAAAAATAACAAGACATAAGAAGAAACAGAGAAACCCGATGACTAAATTAAAGGAGCAAAATAAATCTCCAGAAACCAACCCTAAAGGAATAGATAAATGAGTTACCTGACAAAGAATCCAAATTAACTCTCTTAATGAAGCCCAGTGACAACAGAAATAGACAACTAAGTGAAAGCAGGAAATAATTCAGAACAAAATGAAAATATTAACAGAGATAGAAACTAAAAAAAAAAAAAAAGGAACCATACAGAGACTCTGGAGCTAAGGAATGCAATAGCTCAATTGAAAAATTCACTATCGGAAATCATCAATAGACTGTGTAACTGCCCAATGGGTTCACCTCATGCCCTGCTTAGACAGAGCTGATTTATCAAGACAGGGGAATTGCAATGGAGAAAGAGTAATTCAGGTAGAGCCGGCTGTGCGGGAGATCAGAGTTTTATTATTCCTCAAATCAGTCTCCCTGAGCATTCGGGGATCAGAACTTTTAAAGATAATTTGGCAGGTAGGGGCTTGGGAAGTGGGGACTGCTTATTCATCAGGTTGGAGATGAAATCATACAGGGTTGAAGTGATGTTTTCTTGCTGTCTTCTGTTTGTGGGTGGGGTGGCAGAACTAGTTGAGCCATATTACCAGTCTGGGTGGTGTCAGCTGATTCATCCAGTGCAGGGTCTGCAAAATATCTCAAGCACTGATTTTAGGTTTTACAATAGTGATGTTATCCCCAGGAGCAATTTGGAGAGGTTCAGACTCTTGGAGCCAAGGCTGCATAACCCCTCAACTGTAATTTCTAATGTTGTAGCTAATTTGTTTATCCTGCAAAGGCAAACTGGTTCCAGGCAAGAAGGGGATCTTTTTGGGAAATGGCTATTATCAACTTTGTTTCAGAGTCAAACCATGAACTGAATATCTTCCCAAAATTAGTTCATCCTACTGCCAGGAATGAACAAGGACAGTTTAAACGCTAGAAGCAAGATGCAGTTGATTAAGTCTGATGTCTTTTGCTGTCATAATTTCTTCAGTTATAATTTTTGCAAAGGCAGTTTCAATAACATCAAGCAGAAGAAAGAATCAGTGAAATGGAAGACTAGTCATTTGAAATTATGGAGTCAGAGGAGCAAAAGGGAAAAGGAGTGAAGAGTGAAGACAGCCTAAGAGACTTACAGGATGCCATCAAGCAGACCAATGTATGCATTATGAAAGTGCCAGAAGGAGAAGAGAAAAATAAAGGGGCAGAGAGCCAGTTAAAAAAATAATGACCAAAAACTTCTCAAACTTAAAGAAGGAAATGGACATACAAATCCAAGAGGCTCAAAGAACTCCAAGTTGGATAATTTGCAAAAGACCTACAATGAGACACATTACAATCAAACTGTCAAAAGTCAAAGACAAAGAGAGAATTTTGAAAGGAACAGGATCAAAGCAACTTGTCACATACAAGGGAGATGCCATATGGTTATCAATGGAATTCTCAGCAAAAACTCTACAGGCCAGAAGAGAATGGGATGATATATTAAAAGGGCTGAAAGAAAAAAAAAAAACTGTCAGCCAAGAACTGTATAGCCAGTAAAACTGTATTTCAAAAATGAAAGACAAACAAAGAGTTCCCCAGAGAAGTAAAAGGTGAGGGAGTTGATCACCACTAGACCTACCTTACAAAACATGTTAAAGGGAGTCCTCCAAGTGGAAATGAAAAGGCATTGGATAGAAATGCAAAAGCATACAAAATATAAACTTCTTTGGTAAAGGTAAATATATGAGTGAACATAGAATCCTTTAATACCCTAATGGTGGTAAGCAAAACACTTTTTTTCCTTTACTTTTTTTTTTTGAGACAAAGTCTTGCTCTGTTGCCCAGGCTGGAGTGCAGTGGTTTGATCACGGCTCACTGCAGCCTTGCAGTCCTGGGCTAAAGTAATCCTCCCACCTCAGCCTCCCGAGTGGCTGGGACTACAGACATGCACCACCACACTCAGATAATATTTTTAAATTTTTAGCAGAGATAAGGCCTTGCTGGTCTCAAACTCCTAGGATCAAGTGATCCTCCCATTTGGCCTCTCAAAGTGCTGGGACTACAGGTATGAGACACCACACCCAGCCTGTAATTCACTTTTAATTGAAGCATAGAATTTAAAAGGTAAAAGCATAATATTACTGTATTAAATGATGTGAATAAACAATATAAAATATATAGTGTGACATTGATAACAAAGTGAGAAGGAGGTGTAAAGACGTAGAGTTTTTGTATGTGATTAAAGTTAAGTTGTTGTCAATTTAAAATAGATTATTATAACTATAAGATGTTTTCATGTAATTCTACAGTAACCACAAAGAAAAGACCTACAGAAGATACACAAATAAAAATGAGAAAGGAACCAAAGCAAGTCCCTACCAAAAAAAGAAATCAGTGAAACATAAAGGGAGGCAGAAAGAGAGGAAAAGTGGAAAAAAATATCTGCAAGACATGTATAAAACAATGAACAAAATGACAATAGTAAGCCCCTCCCTATCAGTAACTACTTTAAATGCAAATAGGCTAATTTTCCAATCAAAAGACAGAGAATTGGCCGAATGGATTAAAAAAATCTAAATATATACTATATGCAAGAGACTTATGTTAGATCTAAATATGCACAAAGGTTGAAAGTGAAAAGATGGAAAAAGATATTCAATGCCTTTGGTAACCAAAAGAGAACAAGGATGGCCATACTTAGACAAAATAGAGTTTAAGTCAAATAATAGCACAAGAGACAAGGATATTACATAATAATAAAACGGCCAATTGACCAAGAAGATATAGCAATTATAAATGTATATGCAACTAACAGTACAGCATCTAAATGTATGAAGCTAACATAGACAGAATTGAGGGGTAACATAGATAACAACATCATAATAACAGAAAACTTCAATATTCCACTTTCAATTATGGATACAATAACCAGACAGATCAACTGGAAAACACAGAACTTGAACAACATTGTAGACCAATTGGACCTGTCTGACATATACAGAACACTTCACCCAATAATAGCAAAATATGCTTTCTTCTCAAGTACATACCAAGACTTTTCCAGCATAGATGGCATGCTAGTCCACAAACAAGTTTTTAAAAATTTAAGAAAACTGAACTCATACCAAATATCTTTTCTGACCACATTAAATGAAATTACAAATTCATAGCAGAAGGAAAAAGGAAAAGTAATAAATATGTGGAAATTACAAAAATATACTCTCTTAACCAATTGGCCTGTGTGGTTAATATTAATTGTCAATTTGATTGAGGGATGCTTAGATGCCTGATGAAGCACTGTGTGTGGGTATATCTGTGAGGGTGCTGCCACAGGAGAATGATGGATGAGTTAGTGGACTGAGAGAGAAAAACCCATCCTCACTGTGGGTAGGCATCATGCAATTGGTTGCAAGTGTGACTAGAACAAAAAGGCAGAAGAATGGGAACATTCAGCTTGCTTGGATTTCTTTTTTATGCACTTTCTCTCCCTTCCAGAGCAGTAAGCCTTTTTCTCCTCTTGCCCTTGCACATCAAACTCTAGGTTCTTTGGCCTTTGGACCCTGGAACTTACATCAGCAGCCTTTTGGGAGCTCTCAGGCCTTGGGCCTCAGACTAGTGGCTGCACTGTCAGCTTCCCTGGTTTTGAGACTTTCAGATTTGGACTGAGCCATGTCACTGGCTTCCTTGGGAGCCATGCTGTAGGCTTCTCTCATTTTCCAGCTTATAGATGGCCTATTGTGGGACTTTGCCTTTGTAATTATGTGAGCCAATTCTCCTTAATAAATTATATTTCATATATATGTAAATATATTCTCTTTTAGATGCATGTATATGTATCTATATCTATTATCTATATCTATATCTATATCTATATTTCCTATTAGATCTGACCCTCTGGAGAACTCTGATTAATACATAGTCAAAGAATAAGTCACAAGGAAAATTGGAAAATGTCTTGAGACAAATAAAAATGGAAACACAACATTCCAAAGCTTGTGGGATGCAGCAAAATTAATATGAAGAGGACAGTTTATATATCTAACTACCTACCTTAAAAAAGAAGATCTAAAATCAGCAACTTAGCTTTACACCTCAAGAAACTGGAAAAAGAAGAACTCAACCCAATGTTAGCAAAAGGAAGGAAATAATAAAGTCTAGAGCAGAAGGCCGGGTGCAGTGGCTCACGACTGTAATCCGAGCACTTTGGGAGGCCGAGTCAGGTGGATCACCTGACGTTGGGAGTTCGAGACAAGCCTCAGCAACATGGAGAAACCTGTCTCTACTAAAAAATACAAAATTAGCCGGGCATGGTGGTGCATGCCTGTAATCCCAGCTACTCTGGAGGCTGAGGCGGGAGAGTCACTTGAACTGGGAGGCGGAGGTTGCAGCGAGCGGCGATCACGCCTTTGCACTACAGCCTGGGCAATAAGAGCGAAACTCCTTCTCAAAAAAAAAAAGGCTAGAGAATAGAAAAAAAACCCAATGAAACTAGTAGTTGTTTCAAAGTTCAACAAAACTGACAAATCATTATCTAGAATATTTAAGAAAAAAAATAAAGAAGACTCAACTTCTTTTAGGATCAAAGAGAAGACACTGCAACAGATATTACAGAAATAAAAAGGATTCTAAGAGTCTACTATGAATGATTATATACTGACAAGTTGGATAACCTAGGAGAAATGAACAGATTCCTAGTAACATGCAAGTTACGAAGACTAAGTCACAAAATAAAAAATCTTAATAAACCTATAACTAGTAACTGAATCAGGAATCAAAAACCTCCCAGCAAACCAAATACCTGATAAGGGGTTAATATCTAAAATATTTACAGAACAACAACTCAATAACAAAACAACCTAAATGGGAAATGGTCAGTTGACTTTGCTATGGTCCAAATGTTCTCCCAATATTCATATGCTGGAGCCTAATATTCAATGTGATAATATTAAGAGGTGGGGCATTTTGGAGATGATTAGTTCATGAAGTCATAGCCCTCAGAAATGGGACTAGGGCCTTTATAAAAGAGGCTTAAGGGAGTTTGTTTTCCCTTTTGAACATGTGAGGACACAGAGAAGGTGCTATGTATAGTGAATATAGTGACCTCACCAGTCACTGAGTCTGTTGTAGCCTAAATCTTGGACTTCTCACACTCCAGAACGCAATAAATAAATTTCTGTTGTTTATAAATTACCAGCCTAAGGTGTTTTGTTATAGCAGCAGGAGTGGACTAAGATAGACTTGAATAGACATTTTTTCCAAAAAAAAAATACAAATGGCCAACTAGCATATCAACCCAACACTACATGGAAGCTGCCAAGGCTTGGGGATTGAACTCTGAAGCAATAGCCTGAGCTGCACGTTGGCTCCTTTTAACCATGGCTGGGACACAGGACACCAAGTCCCAAGACTGCACAGAGCAGCAAAGTTCTGGGCCTGGCCCACAAAACCATTTTTTCCCTCCTAGGCCTCCAACTCTGTGACGGGAGGGGCTGTCATGAAGAACTCTGACATGCCCTGGAGACAATTTCCCCATTATCTTGTCAATCAACATTTGGCTCCTTGTTACTTCTGCAAATTTCTGCAGTCAGCTTGAATTTCTCCCCAGAAAATGGGTTTTCTTTTCTATCACATCATCAGGCTGCAAATCTTCCAAACTTTTATGCTCAGCTCCCTTTTAAACATAAGTTCTAATTCAAAACCATATTTTTGTGAATGCATAAAACTGCACACTTTTAAGAGCACTCAGGTCATAAATTGAACACTTTGCTGCTTACAAATTTCTTCTACCAGATGTCCTGGATGAGTTCCAAGATGGCCAAATAGGAACAGTTCCGGTCTGCAGCTCCCAGCATGATCGACAGAGAAGATGGGTGATTTCTGCACTTCCAACTGAGGTAACTGGTTCATCTCATTGGGACTGGTTGGAGAGTGGGTGCAGGCCCACAGAGGGTGAGCTGAAGCAGGATGGGGCGTCGCCTCACCTGGGAAGCACAAGGGGTTGGGGGATTTCCCTTACCTAGCCAAGGGAAGCTGTGACAGACTACCTGGAAAAACAGGGCACTCCCGCCCAAATACTGCACTTTTCCCAAGGTCTTAGCAACTAGCAGACAAGGTGATTCTCTCCTGTGCCTGGCTCAGTGGGTCCCACACCCATGGAGCCTTGCTCACTGCTAGCGAAACAGTCTGAAATCCATCTGCGAGGTGGCAGCCTGGCTGGGGGAGGGGCGTCCACCATTGCTGAGGCTTAAGTAGGTAAACAAAGCGGCCAGGGAAGCCTGAACTGGGTGGAGCCCACCACAGCTTGACAAGGCCCGTTGCCTCTAGACTCCACGTCTGTGGGTGGGGATAGCTGAACAAAAGGCAGCAACTTCTGCAGACTTAAATATCCCTGTCTGACAGCTCTGAAGAGAGCAGTGGTTTTCCCAGCATGGCGTTTGAGTTCTGAGAATGGACAGACTGCCTCCTCAAGTGGGTCCCTGACCCCTGTGTAGCCTAACTGGGACACACCTCCCAGTAGGAGCTGACAGACACCTCATATAGGCGGCTGCCCCTCTTGGACGAAGCTTCCAGACGAAGGATCAGGCAGCAATATTTGCTGTTCTGCAATATTTGCTGTTTTGCAGCCTCCACTGGTGATACCGAGGCAAACAGTGTCTGGAGTGGAACTCCAGCAAACTCCAACAGATCTGCAGCTGAGGGTCCTGACTGTTAGAAGGAAAACTAAAAAACAGAAAGGAATAGTGTCAACATTAACAAAAGATCATCTACACCAAAACCCCATCTGTAGGTCAACAATATCAAAGACCAAAGGTAGATAAAACCAAAAGGATGGGGATAAACCAGAGCACAAAAGCTGAAAATACTAAAAATCAGAGCACCTCTTCTCCTCCAAAGGATCACAGCTCCTTGTCAGCAATGGAACAAAGCTGGACGGAGAATGACTTTGACGAGTTGACAGAAGTAGGCTTCAGAAGGTTGGTAATAACAAACGTCTCCAAGCTAAAGGAGGATGTTGGAACCCATTGCAAGGAAGCTAAAAACCTTGAAAAAAGATTAGACGAATGGCTTACAAGAATAAACAGTGTAGAGAGGACCTTAAGTGACCCAATGGAGCTGAAAACCATGGCACGAGAACTTTGTGACGCATGCACAAGCTTCAATAGCCAATTCAATCAAGTGGAAGAAAGGGTATCAGTGATTGAAGATCAAATAAATGAAATAAAGTGAGAAGACAAGGTTAGAGAAACAAGAGTAAAAAGAAATGAAGAAAGCCTCCAAGAAATATGGGACCATGTGCAAAGACCAAATATATATTTGATTGGTGTACCAGAAAGTGATGAGGAGAATGGAACCAAGTTGGAAAACACTCTTCAGGATATTATCCAGGAGAACTTCCCCAACCTAGCAAGGCAGGCCAACATTCAACTTCAGGAAATACAGAGAACAACACAAAGATACTCTTTGAGAGGAGTGATTCCAAGACACATAATTGTCAGATTCACCAAGGTTGAAGTGTAGGAAAAAGTGTTAAGGGCAGCCAGAGAGAAAGGTCAGGTTAGCCACAAAGGGAAGCCCATCAGACTAACAGCTGATCTCTTGGCGGAAACCCTACAATCCAGAAGAGAGTGGGGGCCAATATTCAACATTCTTAAAGAAAATAATTTTCAATCCAGAGTTTCATATCCAGCCAAACTAAGATTCATAAGTGAAAGAGAAAATAAAATTCTTTACTGACAAGCAAATGTTGAGAGATTTTGTCACCACCAGGCCTGCCTTACAAGAGCTCCTGAGGGAAGCACTAAACATGGAAAGAAACACCCGGTAACAGCCAGTGCAAAAACATGCCAAGTTGTAAAGACCATCAATGCTAGGAAGAAACTGCATCAATTAACAGGCATATAACCAGCGAATATCATAATGACAGGATCAAATTCACACATAACAATATTAACTGTAAACGTAAATGGGCTAAATGCCCCAATTAAAGGACACAGACTGGCAAATGGGATAAAGAGTCAAGATCCATCAGTGTGCTGTATTCAGGAGACCCATCTCATGCGCAAAATCACACATAGGCTCAAAATAAAGGGATGGAGGAAGATCTACCAAGAAAATGGAAAACAAAAAAAGGCAGGGGTTGCAATCCTTGTCTCTGATAAAACAAACTTTAAACCAACAAAGATCAAAAGAGACAAAGAAGGCCATTACATAATGGTAAAAGGATCAATGCAACAAGAAGAGCTAACTATCCTAAATATATATGCACCCAATACAAGAGCACCCAGATTCATAAAGCAAGTCCTTAGAGACCTACAAAGAGACTTAGACTCCCACACAATAATAATGGGAGACTTTAACACCCAACTGTCAGTATTAGAAAGATCAAGACAGAAGGTTAACAAAGATATACTGGACCTGAACTCAGCTCTGCAACAAATAGACCCAATAGACATCCACAGAACTCTCCACCCCAAATCAACAGAGTATACATTCTTCTCAGCACCACATCTCACTTATTCTAAATTTGACCACATAATTGGAAGTAAAGCACTCCTCACCAAATGTAAAAGAACAGAAATCACAACAAACTGTCTCTCAGACCACAGTGCAATCAAATTCGAACTTAGGATTAAGAAGCTCACTCAAAACTGAACAACTACATGGAAACTGAACAATTTGCTCCTGACTAACTACTGGGTAAATAAAAAAATGAAGGCAGAAATAAAGATGTTCTTTGAAACCAATGAGAACAAAGACACAATGTACCAGAATCTCTGGGACACATTTAAAGCAGTGTGTAGGGGGAAATTTATAGCACTAAATGTCCAGAAGAGAAAGCAGGAAAGATCTAAAATTGACCCCCTAACATCACAATTAAAAGAACTAGAGAAGCAAGAGCAAACACATTCAAAAGCTGAGAGAAGGCAAAAAATAAGATCAGAGCAGAGCTGAAGGAGACAGAGACACAAAAAAACCCTTCAAAAAAGCAATGAATCCAGGAGCTGGTTTTTTGAAAAGATCAACAAAATTGATAGACTGTTAGCAAGACTAATAAAGAAGAAAAGAGAGAGGAATCAAATAGATGCAATAAAAATGATAAAGGGGATATCACCACTGAGCCCAGGGAAATAAAAACTACCATCAGAGAATACTATAAACACCTCTACACAAATAAACTTGAACATCTAGAAGAAATGGATAAATTCTGGGACACATACACCCTTGCAAGACTAAACCAGGAAGAAGTTGAATCTCTGAATAGTTCAATAACAGGCTCTGAAATTGAGGCAATAATTAATAGCCTACCAACCAAAAAAAAGTCCAGGACCAGATGGATTCACAGCTGAGTTCTACCAGAGGTACAAAGAGGAGATGGTACCATTCTTTCTGAAACTTTTCCAATCAATAGAAAAAGACAGAATCCTCCCTAATTCATTTTATGAGGCCAACATCATCCTGATACCAAAGCCTGACAGAGACACAACAACAAAAAGAGAGAATTTTAGACCAATATCCCTGATGAACATTGATGCAAATATCCTCAATAAGATACTAACAAACTGAATCCAGCAGCACATCAAAAAGCTTATCCACCATGATCAAGTTGGCATCCCTAGCGTGCAAGACTGGTTCAACATATGCAAATCAATAAATGTAATCCAGCATATAAACAGAACCAAAGACAAAAAACACATGATTATCTTAACAGATGCAGAAAAAGCCTTTGACAAAATTCAACAGCCCTTCATGCTAAGAACTCTCAATAAACTAGGTATTGATGGGACGTATCTCAAATAATAAGAGCTATTTATGACAAACCCACAGCCAATATCATACTGAATGGACAATAACTGGAAGCATTCCCTTTGAAACCTGGCACAAGACAAGGATTCCCTCTCTCACCACTCCTATTCAACATAGTCTTGGAAGTTCTGGCCAGGGCAATCAGGCAAGAGAATGAAATAAAGGGTATTCAATTAGGAAAAGAGGAAGTCAAATTGTGCCTGTCTGCAGATGACATGATTGTATATTTACAAAACCCCATCATCGCAGCCCAAAATCTCCTTAAGCTGATAAGCAACTTCAGCAAAGTCTCAGGATACAAAATCAATGTGCAAAAATCACAAGCATTCCTATACACCAATAACAGACAAACAGAGAGCCAAATCATGAGTGAACTCCCATTCACAATTGCTTCAAAGAGAATAAAATACCTAGGAATCCAACTTACAAGGGACGTGAAGGACCTCTTCAAGGAGAACTACAAACCACTGCTCAGCAAAATAAAAGAGGACACAAACAAATGGAAGAACATTCCATGCTCATGGATAGGAAGAATCAATATCATGAAAATGACCATACAGCCAAAGGTAATTTATAGATTCAATGCCTTCCCCATCAAGATACCAATGACTTTCTTCACAGAATTGGAAAAAACAACTTTAAAGTTCATATGGAACCAAAAAAGAACCTGCATTGCCAAGTCAATCCTAAGCAAAAAGAACAAAGCTGGAGGCATCACACTACCTGACTTCAAACTACACTACAAGGCTACAGTCACCAAAACAGCATGGTACTGGTGCCAAAACAGAGATACAGACCAATGAAACAGAATAGAGCCCTCGGAAATAATACCACACATCTACAACCATCTGATCTTTGACATAAACAAGAAATGGGGAAAGGATTCCCTATTTAATAAACGGTGCTGGGAAAACTGGCTAGCCATATGTGGAAAGCTGAAACTGGATCCCTTCCTTACACCTTATATAAAAATTAATTCAAGATGGATTAAAGACTTAAATGTCAAACCTAAAACCATAAAAACCCTAGAAGAATACCTAGGCAATACCATTCAGGACATAGTCATGGGCAAGGAATTCATGACTAAAACACCAATAGCAATGGCAACAAAAGCCAAAATTGACAAATGAGATCTAATTAAATTCAAGAGCTTCTGCACAGCAAAAGAAACTACCATCAGAGTGAACAGACAACCTACAGAATGGGAGAAAATTTTTACAATCTACCCATCTGACAAAGGGCTAATATCCAGAATCTACAAAGAACTTAAACAAATTTATATGAAAAAATCAAACTACCCCATCAAAAAGTGGACAAAGGGTATGAACAGACACTTCTCAAAAGAAGACATCTATGCAGCCAACAGACACATGAAAAAATGCTCATCATCACTGGCCATCAGAGAAATGCAAATCAAAACCACAGTGAGATACCATCTCACACCAATTAGAATGGCGATCATTAAAAGGTCAGGAAACAACAGGTGCTGGAGAGGATATGGAGAAATAGGAACACTTTTACACTGTTGGTGGGAGTGTAAACTAGTTCAATCATTGTAGAAGACAGTGTGGCAATTCCTCAAGGATCTAGAACTAGAAATACCATTTCACCCAGCCATCCTATTACTGGGCATACACCCAAAGGATTGTAAATCATGCTGCTATAAAGACACATGCACACGTATGTTTATTGCGGCACTATTCACAATAGCAAAGACTTGGAGCCAACCTAAATGTCCATCAATGATAGACTGGATTAAGAAAATGTGGCACATATACACCATGGAATACTATGCAGCCATAAAAAGGATGAGTTCATGTCCTTTGTAAGGACATGGATGAAGCTAGAAACCATCATTCTGAGAAAACTATTGCAAGGACAGAAAACTAAACACCACATGTTCTCACTCATAGGTGGGAATTGAACAATGAGAACATTTGGACACAGGGTGGGGAACATCACATGCTGGGGCCTGTCATGGAGTGGGGTGAGGGGGGGATAGCATTAGGAGATATATCTAATGTAAATGACGAGTTAATGGGTGCAGCACACCAACATGACACATATATACATATGTAACAAACCGGCACATTGTGCACATGTACCCTAGAACTTAAAGTATAGTAATAGAAAAACTATGATACTCTCCTACATACCATATCTGTACAAAAATTATAAATTTTAGATAACCATCCAGAGATATTTCTCTAATTCTTGGAAAAAATATCAACATTGAAAACATCAAAAAAATTAAACAGTTCTTTTTTCGTCCAAAAAACAAAAAAAGAACAATAGGTAATCCTCCCTAACTCATTTTATGAGGCCAGCATCATCCTGATACCAAAGTCTGGCAGAGATACAACAAAAAAAGATAATTTTAGACCAATATCCTTGATGAACATCGATGCAAAAATCCTCAATAAAATACTGGCAAACCAAATCCAGCAACACATCAAAAAGCTTATCCACCACGATCAAGTGGGCTTCATCCCTGGGATGCAAGGCTGGTTCAACATATGCAAATCAATAAACGTAATCCATTACATAAACAGAACCAAAGACAAAAACCACATGATTATCTCAATAGATGCAGAAAAGACCTTCGACAAAATTCAACACTCCTTCATGCTAAAAACTCTCAATAAATTAGGTATTGATGGGACGTATCTCAAAATAATAAGAGCTATTTATTACAAACCCACAGCCAATATCATACTGAATGGGCAAAAACTGGAAGCATTCCTTTTGAAAACTGGCGCAAGAGAAGGATGCCCTCTCTCACCATTCTTATTCAACATGGTGTTGGAAGTTCTGACCACTGGAATCAGGCAGGAGAAAGAAATAAATGGTATTCAGTTAGGAAAAGATGAAGTCAAATTGTCCCTGTTTGCAGATGACATGTTTGCATATTTAGAAAACCCCACCGTCTCAGCCCAAAATCTCCTTAAGCTGATAAGCAACTTCAGCAAAGTCTCAGGATACAAAATCAATGTGCAAAAATCACAAGCATTCCTATACACCATTAATAGACAAACAGAGAGCCAAATCATGAGTGAACTCCCATTCACAATTGCTACAAAGAGAATAAAATACCTAGGAATCCAACTTACAAGGGACGAGAAGGACCTCTTCCAAGAGAACTACAAACCACTGCTTAACGAATTAAAAGAGGACACAAACAAATGCAAGAGTATTCCACGCTCATGGATAGGAAGAATCAATATCATGAAAATGGCCATACTGCACAAAGTAATTTATAGATTCAATACCATCCCCATCAAGCTACTAATGACTTTCTTCACAGAATTGGAAAAAAAACTACTTTAAATTTCATATGGAACCAAAGAAGAGCCTGCATTGCCAAGATAATCCTAAGCAAAAAGAACAAAGCTGGAGGCATCACACTACCTGACTTCAAACTATACTACAAGGCTACAGTAACCAAAACAGCATGGTACTGGTGCCAAAACAGATATATAGACCAATGGAACAGAACAGAGGCCTCAGAAATAAGACCACACACAACTACAGCCATCTGATCTTTGACAAACCTGACAAAAACAAGAAATGGGGAAAGGATTGCCTATTTAATAAATGATGCTGGGAAAACTGGCTAGCCATATGTAGAAAGCTGAAACTGGATACCTTCCTTACATCTTATACAAAAATTAATTCAAGATGGATTAAAGACTTAAATGTTAGACCTAAAACCATAAAAACCCTAGAAGAAAACCTAGGAAATACCATTCAGGCCATAGGCATGAGCAAGGACTTCATGACTAAAACACGAAAAGCAATGGCAACAAAAGCCAAAATTGACAAATGGGATCTAATTAAACTAAAGAGCTTCTACACGGCAAAAGAAACTGCTATCAGAGTGAACCAGGCAACATACAGAATGGGAGATAAATTGCAATCTACCCATTTGACAAAGAAAGAATTCAAACAAATTTACAAGAAAAAAACAACCCCATCAAAAAGTGGGCAAAGATATGAATAGACACTTCTCCAAAGAAGACATCTATGCAGCTAACAGACACAAGAAAAAAAGGTCATCATCACTGGTCATCAGAGAAATGCAAATCAAAACCACAATGAGATACCATCTCACCCCAGTTAGAATGACAATCATTAAAAAGTCAGGAAACAACAGATGCTGGAGAGGATATGGAGAAATAGGAAAGCTTTTACACTGTTGGTGGGAGTGTAAACTAGTTCAACCATTGTGAAAGACATTGTGGTGATTCCTCCAGGATCTAGAACTAGAATTACCATTTGACCCAGCAATCCCATTACTGGGTATATACCCAAAGGATTATAAATCAAGCTACTATAAAGACACATGCACATGTATGTTTATTGCGGCACTATTCACAATAGCAAAGACTTGGAACCAACCCAAACGTCCATTAATGATGGACTGGATTAAGACATGTGACACATATACACCATGGAATACTATGCAGCCATAAAAAATGATGAGTTTATATCCTTTGCAGGGAGATAGATGAAGCTGGAAACCATCATTCTCAGCAAAACTATCACAAGGACAGAAAACCAAACACCGCATGTTCTCACTCATAGATGGGAATTGAACAATGAGATCACTTGGACACAGGGCTGAGAACATCACACACTGGGGCCTGTTGGGGGGTGGTGGGCTGGGGGAGGGAGAGCATTAGGAGAAATACCTAATGTAAATGATGAGTTGATGGGTGCAGCAAACCAACATGGCACATGTATACCTATGTATCAAACCTGCACGTTGTGCACATGTACCCTAGAACTTAAGGTATAACAACAACAACAACAGTTTCTTCTACCAGATGTCCTCAGTCATCTCTCTCAATTTCAAAGTTCCATAAATCTGTAGGGCAGGGGCAAAATGCCACCAGTCTCTTTGCTAAAGCATAGCAAGAGTGACCTTTACTTCAGTTCCCAACAAGTTGTTCATCTCCATCTCGGACCTCCTCAGCCTGGACTTCACTGTCCAAGTCACTATCAGCGGTTTGGTCAAAGCCATTCAACAAGTCTCTAGGCAGTTCCAAACTTTCCCACATCTTCTGGTCTTCTTCTGAGTCCTCCCAACTGTTCCAAACTCTGCACATTACACACTTCCAAAGTCACTTCCACATTCTCAGGTATCTTATAGCAATATTCCATTACCTCAGTATCAAAATCTGTATTAGTCATGGTTCTTTAGAGGGATAGAACTAATAGTATATATATATATGAAAGGGAGTTTATTAAAGAGAATTGAATCACACCATCACAAAGTGAAGTCCTACAACAGGCCGTCTGCAAGTTGAGGAGCAAGGAATCTAGTATTGGCTCAGTCCGAGAACCAACACCTCAAAAGTAGGGAAACCGACAGGCCAGCTTTGAGTCTCTGGATGAAGGCCTGAGAACCCCTGGAAAACAACTGGAGTAAGTCCAAGAGTCCAAAAGCCAAAGAACCTGGAGTCTGATATTTGAGTGCAGGAAGCATCCAGCATGGGAGAAAGATGAGGGCCAGAAGGCTCAGCAAGTCAGCTTCTCCTAACCTTCTTCTGCCTGCTTTATTCTAGCCATGCTGGCAGCTGATTGTATGGTGCCCACCCACATTGAGGGTGGATCTGCCTTTCCCAGTCCACTAAATAAATGTTAATCTCCTTTGGCAACACCCTCACAGACACAACCGGGAACAATACTTTGGATCCTTCAATCCAATCAAGTTGACACTTACTTCATATTAACCTTCACAATGTAATATTCATCCCATTTGTAATTTTTCTTTAATATACAAGCTCCTTGAGAACATGCACCATTTGATCTTGTCTCTCTGTTGTGTTGGGCGGCAGTGGAGAAGAGAAGAGTTAAATGTGTGGGTGTGGAATGAGACTGTCAGATCTGCATCTTGGCTCCCCTACTTATTGGATCTCTGTCCTTGAGTAAATTACTTAACATCTTTCTCAGTTTCCTTACCTGTAAATGAGTGGTGACATATATGGAACGTAGAACAAGAGCCAAGCAAGTATTCAGTAAAAGCTGATGTTGTTGCCTACCGTTTATTCTCAGTGTTTGGCATAGTAGCCGGCAAAAGGAAGAGGATTTTTTTTTCTTTTTTTCAGACAGTCTCCCCCTGTCAACCAGGCTGGAGGGCAGTGGTGTGATCTTGGCTCACTGCAACCTCTGCCTCTTGGGTTCAAGCGATTCTTCTGCCTCAGCCCCCTGAGTAGCTGTGATTACAGGCCTGTGCCACCACACCCAGCTAACATTTTGTATTTTTAGTAGAGATGGAGCTTTGCTATGTTGGCCAGGCTGGTCTTGAACTCATGTCCTCAAGTGATCCCCCCGCTTTGGCCTCCCAAAGTGTTGGGATTATAGGCGTGAGCCATTGGGCCCAGCCTGGAAATATTTTTTTGAAACATAACTGATAACAATATTTTTTGAAAGAATGACAGATACCAATCATGAAGGAAAAGATTTTCACAATTGACAATAAAAAACTTTAAGCTCTGAATGGTAAAAAGTGAGAAAATTAAAAGCCAAATTACAAATTGAAAAAACTAAAGTATATAAAACAAAGGTTTTCATTCTCAATTTGATGCAGAATCTTGACAAATCAAAAAGAACAAAAGGTGAACCCACCTAAAAGAAATAGGCAAAAAACTTTCAAGAAAAGCAGTTTACAAAATGCCAATGACTAATAAACATGGATATTTAACATCACTAGTATTCAAAGTACTTCATTTATAGAGATCCCTCCTTCACCTATCAAATTAGCAAAGATGAAAAAGGCTAGTAATACCAAGTTTTGAAGAGAGGTGAGAGGAAATGACAAGTTTATGTACCTTGGTAGGACATGATATTGTGGCAATATGTTTCAGAATACTCATAAATGTATATACCTTTTAGATCAACAATTACACTTTTAGGCTTAAGAAAATATGAAAATTAGGTACAAATATTTCTCTATATGTTCAACTAAGTATTATTTTTTTAATTAAAAAAAAATTTTTTGAGACAGAGTCTCGCTCTGTTGCCCAGGCTGGATAGCTCACTACAGCCTCTGCCTCCTGGGTTCAAGTGATTCTTCTGCTTCATGCTCCTGAGTAGCTGGGATTACAGATGCCCACCACCATGCCCGGCTAAGTTTTGTATTTTTAGTGGAGACGGGGTTTCACCATGTTGGTTGGCCAGGCTGGTCTTGAACTCCTGACCTCAAGTGATCCACCCTTCTTGGCCTCCCAAAGTGCTGGGGTTATAGGTGTGAGCCACCCATGCCCGGCCAATTTTTTAATTTAAAAAATATTTTTATAGCAGCCCAACTAAGTATTATTTTAATAGTAAATATTGGAGTTAACTTTAATTTTGAACAGGATAAGTAATCATGATGCAGCACATTGAATACTCTTTCATTAAGCTAAACAACTATTAAAAATGATTTACAAATACATTTACTGAAAAGAAACATGTTTGTGATATACAGTTAAGTGTAAAACAATTCAGGTTATAAGAACATATTAGGCCGGGTGCGATGGCTCATGCCTGTAATCCCAGCACTTTGGGAGGCCGAGGCAGGCGGATCACGAGGTCAGGAGATCAAGACCATCCTTGCTAACACGGTGAAACCCTGGCTCTACTAAAAATACAAAAAAAAATTAGCCGGGCGTGGTGGCGGGCGCGTGTAGTCCCAACTACTTGGGAGGTTGAGGCAGGAGAATGGCATGAACCCGGGAGGCAGAGCATGCAGTGAGCCGAGATTGTGCCACTGCACTCCAACCTGGGTGATAGAGCAAGACTCCTCCTCAAAAAAAAAAAAATAAAAGAACATATTGGTCAATATTCACTGATTTTTATAAGAATATTTGACAGAGAGAGGGGGAAGGGAAGGGAAGGGGGAGGAGAGGGGAAGGGAAGGGAAGGAAAGAAGGGAAGAAGGGAAGGGAAGGGAATATGGGTGGATTTATATCAAAAGGTTCAGAAGGAAATGATTCTTTTCTTCTGGATGTGACTATTGCAGATTTTATTTTTAACTTTTCCTCTTTTTCTTATTTATTTATATTTTCTTATTTTAAGAGAAACTATAAAACTATATATATTACTTTTCAACTTAAAAATAGTTTAGCGCTTCAATAATACAGAAGACTCAAACATTACAGATAATTAAAGCATTACTAAATGTGGAAATGTTTAGTTTCACAATTTCTGTAGTGATATTCAAGACCAGATATCACCTTGGGAATCAGAACTGGTGCAGGATCTTGTCCTAACACTACCAAAAAAGCATATGGCTGTCCCAGCTCTGTATGTTTATGTTGTCTTATAATAGAGCAACCAGTTGTTTATTAGGATGGCCAAAAAGGCACATTTCAAAAATGCCTATTGAAATATTAGTAGTACAAATAATACTGCTGCTTAATTTTTTCTAATTAGAACTGATAAAATTCAAAAGCAACATAAGCAGACAAATAGTAATAATATGGTTTATCAAATTAATTGTCACATGATTATTAAAGTGAGATCATGTGTGTTAAGTAGTGGTATCTTAAGCCACTGAAATATCTTCCTTGGTCTGGAATGAGCTTTCTATGGAGATTAAAAAGATGTTAAATTGAACAGTCTTGGTTATTAAATGAAGAAGCAAAGCCAGAAACCCTGTTTAAAGAACTAACAAAAAAGGTCATGAATGATCTGGTGGTTGTTATATTTTCTTGTTTACCCGAGGAGAAGACTATGCTCAAGCATGTATTGAATCCAGTGATAGCCAGAATGTCATCCATACTGCTAGCAGCCATTAGTAAGGTTGGAATGTCTTCCTCAACACCATATCCATTTTCTTGCGACACCATTGTGTAAAGGACAACAACAGCAGGAGAGACAGCACCTAGAACAAAACTGAAAGAAAGAATGAAAATTAATTTAAAAGCATCTTTTTAATCAAGTAGTGTTTTTTAAGTACAACTAGTTTATAATAAATTTATAACAAACATTGTTTAGAAGAATTTCAAATTTGAGTGAATGCAATTTAATGGTGATAAAACTTTTCATGCATTGTTTAGTGCTGGCTAAAATTTTATACAGACGTGGTTTAAAATGTTGGGCTGAGCACAGGTTGCAGCCTTTCCCTCTATTCCTAAATCCTTTGAAGTGAAGATGTAAAGGTAATAGAAAAATTCATAACCTAACTAGAAAGCAAAAGGTGAATCATCAATGGACAAGAAACTAAGTATATGCCAGAAAGAAAAGAGACAGACAATTTAGGATTGAAAAAAGGAAACCATAAACCAAAATGTGTGTAAATAAGATTGCCTCAAAAGATACATGTGCTTCTAAAAGTGGTCCAAGCCCTGAAATGACAGATGCTGGGAGCAGGAGAGACCTCTGGGGAAACCAAATAGTTGATTATTTGGAGTACCACTGTAAGAATGGTCAGACAAATCTACCTTCCACACATTTCCTACCTCTTGAGTAAATAAGTAAGTAAGGAAGGAAGGAACAGAGTTGTCTGCCCAAAAAAACAAGTGTGGCCACCTAAGTTACAAAGGCAAATGAGAACATTTCTGGAGTGGTTGATGACACCCATGAGAAATGGGGAGGCTCCTGCTCAGAATACCTTCTATTGGCATATCTTATCCAGAATTTCACCTCATCTCTTCTACATTTACTTTATAAAGCGTGAAGTATATCCTGTGTAGAAATGCTTTTGGTGCTCCTGCCAGAATCCATTTACCAGGTCAATGAACACATCTCCCAGTGATTCTTGTTGGCTGCTAATATCTGCAGGTTTCTAGAACCCTTGTCCTGCTGACAAGCACCTACCTGGGAATACTAGGAAGGTTGTGTACCCCTCTACTTTCCCTCCAGACAGCATCTGCCAATGACGGACTGATGTGAGATTTGCTTCTGGCTGTACAACTCTATGGCGCAGTTTATGCTACAGATTTCCCTGTGCGCTCAAGAAGAGACTAGACTTCTCTAAGACCACATACTGGTCTAGTTCAGTGGTTCCTGAACTCTGCTGCACATTGTAATCACCTGTTGTATTATTTTTCTCATTTTGCTTAACAAGTCATCCCCAAACATAGCAGCTTAAAACAACAAATATTTATTGTCTTATGAGTTCTGTGGGTCAGGAATCTGGGCATGGCTTAGTTGTATGCCTTGACTTAAGATTTCCCATGAGGTAGGGTGGGGTGGAGAAGATCTGCTTCCAAGTTTACTCATGTAGCCATTGCAGGCTTCAGTTTTTTCCAGTGGGGTTTTCTCCACAGGGCTGCCTCAGGACATGGCAGCTGGCTTCCCCAGGAATAAGTGATCAAAGAGAATTTAATCCACAACATCAATTAAAAACACAAAGTATCTAAGAACAAAACTGTGAAGACAGTCTATACTTTTATAAAAATTGTGAATATAATAATATAATAATTAAGATAATACCTGAATACTTAGAGAGACATTTCACAAGTGTGAAATAAAAAGCCCCAATTTTACCATCGCCCAACACCACGCCTGGCTAGTTTTTGTGTTTTTAGTAGATACGGTGTTTCACCATTTTGGCCAGGCTGGTCTTGATCTCCTGACCTCAAGTGATATGCCTGCCTTGGCCTCCCAAAGTGCTGGGATTATAGGTGTCAGCCACCACGCCCAGCCAAAGCCTCAATAATATAAAGATGTAATCTCTCCCCCAAATGAATTAATCAGAGATACACCAATCAAAATCATTGCAGGGATTTTTACTGAGCTTGACAAGCTGATTATAAAATTCATTTGGAAGAATAAGATCTTAGAATGAAAGATCAAGTAAACTTAAGAGAACAAGATACTGTTTTTGTAAAGGTAAAATAGTTAAAACTAAATAATAGTGACATATAAATAGACAAAATAAATTGGAAGAAAAGAGAATACAAAGTGTGGAAACAAATCCATGGGATTTGTTACATCATACAATTGGTATTTTAAATCAGTGGGAGAAAGAAAGAAATCTTTCACAAATGGTGTTGAGATAACTATTTATGTGGAAAGGAATATAGATAGATCCTTACACATAATAAATGTTAAAAGCTCAAAAGGAAAAGTAGTAATAAGAAAATGTTGTGGGCTAGGCGTGATGGCTCACACCTGTAATCCCAGCACTTTGGGAGGCTGAGGTGGACAGATCAGGAATCTGAGACCAGCCTGGCCAACATGGTGAAACCAATAGCTGGGTGCAGTGGTGCATGCCTGTAGTCCCAGCTACTTGGGAGGTTGAGGCAGAAGAATCACTTGAACCTGGGAGGTGGAAGTTGCAGTGAGCTGAGATCATGCCACTGCACTACAGCCTGGGTGACAGCAAGACTCTGAACAACAAAAAAAAGATGTAGAATAATATATTTGTGATCATGAGGTAAAAAGGACCTTTTGAATGATACATACAAAGGCATTAGACATAAAAAGAGATTTTGATACATTCAATTATATTAAAGTAGTACTTCAAAAGCAACTTCAAAAGTACTATAATAAAGTGCTACTTCAAAAGCAATTCTGCTCTTTCTCCCCCTTTTTCTCTTTTTCATTTTCAAAGTCAAGTGAACGGTGTTGTGTATTGGCAATTCTGTCTGTTGAAAATAACAAAATACACTTCTTAGAGTGAAAAAAAAATCATCACAAACAAAATTAAATATCTACTGATATTTGCAATACATATAATTTACAAATGCACATAACAGATATAATTAATAAAGAAGACCAACTCAACAAAAAAATAGACAAAAGATATGAACAGGCTAGTTACAGATAAGGAAAAGCTGAAGGACAACACATATATAAAAGATATTCAAGCTTGTGAATAATCACAGAAATGCAAATTAAAATAACAAAAATATGCCATTTTTTCAATTATCAGACTGGAAAACATTATAAAATTTAATAATATCAAGGATTTGCAAGGATTTTCAAGAACAACAGGTATGCTCATAAGCTATTGGTATTAGGGCAAATTAAAGTGGCCATACCGAAAGGATTTTCGCAGTATACATCAAACTAAAAATGCATGTAACCCAGGTAACTATTCTAGACAAACTTATATTTATGTAAAATGAGACAAATAAAATGCTATTTTTGTGATAACATTGTAAATAAAATCTGCTGTTGACATACAATGTAATCTTATACAACTAAAAGGAATAAACTACATGTGTATCCATCTTGAGATGGATAAACCTCAAGACTATTGTTGAGTGAAAAGAACAAATTGTAAAGTAAAATTTTCTTGGGTATGATTACGTAAAAATGTGCAAAATAATACTCTTTTTTTCTCTGGGTTCACAAATACATTTGTTAGAAGTCCAGAACATTATTTTTAAAGATCTAGAATGATAACATAAAACTCATGAAGATGCTGCCACTCTGTCTGCAGCAGCACATGAGTGCACCCCACAACACCATTGCCCCGGCTGGCACGTGCAAGTATGCAGAACACCCCATCCCACTCCTGCCGGCGCTGCACCCCTGCCAACACATGCATACCTGCTGTGTGCTGCTGCTGCTGGCACATATGTGTGAGATCACTACAATGAAGCACTTTGGCTGGCACACCCCATCAGAGTGTTGTTGCCAGTGGACTGGGAACACCTCAGTGCTTAACATTGAAGGGCCAGACAACAAATCTGTGAGTATGGTACCAGCCTTGCAAAGTTAGAGCACGCCGTTCAGGAGTGCTGAGCTGAGCCTTTGCCCCCTGAAATCTTCCAGAAATGAAGCCATTTGATTGAAACTACCTTGTGCCACAGTCAAACCCTCAAGGGCATTAAAGAATATAAAAAAGGAAAAAGCTCCATCCAAAGGACAGTGATTCAAAACATTAAAGGAACCTTAGCCCACACAGATGTGAAAGAACCAGTGCAAGAACTCTGGCAATGTAAAAAGCCAGAATGTCTTCCTGTCTTCAAGCAATCATACTAACTCTTCAACAATGGTTGTTAACCAGGATTAAATGACAGACATAGAATTCAGAATCTGGATAGAAACAAAGATCATTGAGATTCAGAAGAAAGTCAAAATCCAATCCAAATAATTTAAGGAATCCAATAAGATGACATAAGAGCTGAAAGATGAAATAGGCATTTTAAGAAAGAACCAAACTAAACTGATAGAGCTGAAAAATGCACCTCAAGAATTTCATAAAACAATAACAAATACTAACAGCAGAACGGACCAAGCTGAGGAAAGAATCTCAGATCTCAAAGACCACTTCTTTGAATCAACTCAGTCAGACGAAAATAAAGAACAAAAAAGAATGAACAAAACCTCTGAGAAATCTGAGATTATGTAAAGAGACCAAACATATGACTCAAGGCATCACTCAAAGAAAGGGAGAAAGAACAAGCAAGTTGGAAAACATATTTGAGGATACTGCCCACAAAAATTTCCCAAATCTTGCTAGAGAAGTCACCATTTAAATCCAGGAAATGCAGAGAATCCTGTGAGATACTATACAAGATGACCATCCCCAAGACAGACAGACATCAGATTCTCCAAGGTCAACATGAAATAAAAAAATATGAAAGGCAGCTAAAGTGAAGGGGCAGGTCACATACAAAGGGAATCCCATCAGGCTAACAGTGGAACTATAAGATACTCTACAATCCAAAAGAAATTGGGGGCCTATATTCAGCATTCTTTTTTTTTTTTTTTTGAGACGGAATCTCACTCTGTTGCCCAGGCTGGAGTGCACTGGTGCTATCTCGGCTCACTGCAACCTCCACTTCCCGGGTTCAAGCAATTCTTCTCCCTCAGCCTCCCAAGTAGCTGGGACTACAGGTGCGCACCACAACACCCGGCAATTTTTTGTAATTTTAGTAGAGACAGGATTTCACCATATTGGCCAGGGTGGTCTCAAATTCCTGACCTCGTGATCTGCCCACCTCGGCCTCTCAAAGTGCTGGGATTACAGGTGTGAGCCACCATGCCCGGCCTTCAGCATTCTTAAAAAAAAAAAATACTTGGCCGGGTGTGGTGGCTCATGCCTGTAATCCCAGCACTTTGGGAGGCTGAGAGGGGTGGAACACAAGGTCAAGAGATCAAGACCATCCTGGCCAACATGGTGAAACCTCATCTCTAATAAAAATACAAAAATTAGCTGGGCATGGTGGTGCGTGTCTGTAGTCCCAGCTACTCGGGAGGCTGAGACAAGAGAATCACTTAACCCAGGAGGTGGAGGTTGCAGTGAGCCGAGATAGCACCACTGCACTCCAGTCTGGGGACAGAGCAAGACTCTGTCACAAAAAAAAAAAAAAAAAAAAAAAAAAAATTCAACCAAGAACTTAATATCCAGCCAAACTAAACATATGTGAACGAGAAGTAAGATCCTTTTCAGACAAACAAATGCTGACGGAATCTGTTACCACCAGACATGCCTTACAAGAGGTCCTTAAGGGAGTGCTAAGCGTGGAAGTGAAAGACTGTTAATGGCCACCACAAAAATACATTTAAGTACATAGACCATTGACGTTGTAAAGCCTGCATAATAACAATCAAGTCTGCATAATAACCAGCTAACAACATAATGGCAGGACCAAAGCTATAAATACCAATATTAACTGTGAATGTAAACAGTATAAATGCCCCGCTTAAAACTCACAGAATGGCAAGTTGGTTAAAGAAGCAAAGCCCAACCGTATCTGTTGTCAAGAGACCCAGCTCATATGCAACAATACCCATTGGCTTGAAGTAAAAGGATGGAAAAAAATCTACCAAGCAAATGCAAAACAAAAAAAGGTAAGCATTGTTATTCTAATTCAGACAAAATAGACTTTAAACCAACAACAATCAAAAAGACAAAGAAGGGCACTACGTAATGATAAAGGGTTCAATTCAACAAGAAGACTTAACTGTCTGAAACATAAATGTGCTCAAAACTGGAGCATTCATATTAGTAAAACAAGTTCATAGAGACCTATAGAGAGAATTAGATAACCACAGAATAATAGTGGGAGACTTCAACATCTCACTGACAGTACTAGACAGATCATAGAGACAGAAAATGAACAAAGATATTCAGGACTTGAAGTCAACACTTGGCTAAATGGACCTAACAGCCATCTACAGAACACTCCACCCAACAACAACAGAATATATCTTCCTCTCATCTGTACATGGCATATATTGTAAAATTGATCACACTATCAGTCTAAAATTATTTTCAATAAATTAAAAGAAACCCCTGAAATCATGCCAACCACACTCTTGGACCACTCAGTGTAACAAAAATAGAAGTCAACACTAAGAAGAACTCTCAAAACCATACAATTACATGGAAATTAAACAACCTGTGCCTGAATGACTTTTGGGTAAACAGTGAAATTAAGGCAGAAACCAATAAATTCTTTGAAACTGATTAAAACAAAGATACAACATTCTAGGCTCTCTAAGACACAGGCAAAGCATTGTTAAGGGAAAAGTTTATCGTGCTAAATGCCCATATTGAAAAGTTAGAAGGATCTTAAATTAACAACCTAATATCATACCTAAAGGAAATAGAAAAACAAGAGGAAAAGAAACCCAAAGCTAGCAGAAGAAAATAAATAACCAAAATCCGAGCAGAATGGAATGAAACTGAGTCATGAAAAGCCATACAAAAGATAAATGAAACTAAAAGCTGGTTCTTCAAAAGAATAAATAAATTTGATAGGTCACTAGCTAGACCAATAAGGAAAAAAAAAAGAGAAGATACAAAAAACACAATCAGAAATGGTAAAGTGGACATTACCGCCAACCACACAGAAATATAAAAAACTCTCACAGACTATGATGAACATGTTTATGCAAACAAAGTAGAACACCTACAAGAAATGGGTAAATTTCTGGAAACATACAACCTCCCAAGATTGAACTAGGAAGAAATTGAAATCCTGAACAAACCAAAAACGAGTTTTGAAACTGAATGAGTAATAAAAAGTCTCTGAGCCAAAAAAAAAAAGCAAGCCCAGGACCCAACAGATTCACAGACAAATTCTACCGGAAGTGTAAAGAAGAGCTGGTACCAATGCTACTGAAATTATTCTGAAAAAAATGAGGAGGAAGGATCCCTCCCTAACTCATTTTATGAGGTCAGCATCATTCAGATATGAAAACCTGGCAGAGACACAACAAAAAAGAAAACTTCAGGACAGTTATCACTGATGATCATAGATGCAAAAATCCTCAACAAAATACAAGCCAACTGAATCCAGCAGCATATCAAAAAGCTAGTCTACTATGATCAAGTAAGCTTTATCCCTGGGATGCAAGTTTGGTTCAAGATATACAAACCAATAAATGTGATTCATCATAAAATAGAACTAAAAATAAAAACATCCCTTCATGATATAAACCCTCAACAAATGAGTTTCTGAAGGAGCATACCTCAAAATAATTGGAGCCATTTATGACAAACCCACAGCCAACTTCATACTGAATGGGAAAAAGCTGGAATATTCCCTTTGAGAACTGGAACAAGACAAGGATGCCCACTCTCACTACTCCTATTCAACATAGTGCTGGATGTCCTAACCAGTGCAATTAGGCAAGAGAAAGAAACACAGACATCTAAATAGGAAGAATGGAAGTCAAACTATGCCTCTTCATAGGTGAAACAGTTTTATACCAAGAAAACCCCATAGTAGCCTCTCGAGAGCTCCCAGATCTGATAAATGACTTCAGCAAAGTTTCAGGATACAAAAATCAATGTACAAAAATCTGTAGCATTTCTATACACCAACAACATCCAAGCTGACAGCCAAATCAAGAATGCAATCCCATTCAGAGTAGCCACAAAAAAACCACAAAATACCTTGGAATACAGCTAAGCAGGGAGGTGAAAAATCTATAAAATGAAAATTACAAACGAGTGCTCAAAGAATCAGAGACAACAGAAACAAAAGGAAAACATTCCATGATCACAGATAGGAAGAAGCAATATTGTTAAAATGGCCATACTGTCTAAGGCTATTTACAGAGTCAATGCTATTCCTATCATAACACCAATGACATTTTTCACAGGATTAAAAAAAAGCATTCTAAAATTCATTTGGAGCCAAAAAAAAAAAAAAAAAAAAAAAAAGCCCAAATAGCCAAAGCAATCCTAAGCAAAAAGAACAAAGTCGAAAGCGTCACACTACCTGACTTCGAACTGTACTACAATGCTACAGTAAGCAAAACAGCATGGTTATGCTCAGCAAAAGAAATAATCAGCAGAGTAAAAAGACAACCTACAGAGTGGGAGAAAATCTTTACAAACTATGCATCCAGCAAAGTACTAATATCCAGAATCTATAAGGAACTCAAAAACAGACATAGACCAGTGGAACAGGTTACAGAACACAGAAATAAAGCTGCACAGCTATAGCCATCTACTCTTCAACAAACTTGACAAAAACAAGCAATGGGGAAGGGAATCCCTACTTGGAAATTGTGCTGGGATAACTGGTTAGCCGTATGCAGAAAATTGAAACTGGACTCCATACATTTCACCGTTTACAAAAATCAACTCAAGGTAGATTAAAGACTTAAATGTAAAACCCAAAACTATAAAAACCCTGGAAGATAGCCTAAGAAATACCATTCTGGACACAGGCCATTCTGGACATATCCTAGGAAATTTCAATTCTGGAAAACACTTTATGACAAAGATGCCAAAAGCAATTACAACAAAAACAAAAATTCACAAATGGGACCTAATTAAACTAAAGGGCTTCTGCACAGCAAAAGAAATCATTAACAAACAACCTATGGAATGGGAGAAAATATTTGCAAACCATGCATTCGACAAAAGTCTAATATCCAGAATCCAAAAAGAACTTAGAAAAATCAACAAGCAAAAATCTAACAACCCCATTAAATGGGCAAAGGACAGGAAAAGACACTTCTCAAAAGAAGACAAACAGGTAGTCAACAAGTATACGGAAAAATATTCAACATCACTAATCATTAGAGAAATGCAAAACAAAAGTGCAATGAGATACAACCTCACAGGAGGCAGAATGGCTATTATTAAAAAGTCAAAAAGTAATAGATGCGGGCAAGCTTGGGGAGCTACTCCCAGGTTTTTGGAAGGCTGAGGCATGAGAATTGCTTGAACCTGGGAGGCAGAGGTTGCAGTGAGCTGAGATTGGGCCATTGCAGTCTAGCCTGGGCAACAGAGCAAGACTCCATCTCAAAAAAAAAAAAAAATACAGAAAAAGAAAAAAAGAAAAACCCACAGTCAACATTATACTGAATGGGGAAAAGATGAAAGCATTCCCCCGAGAACTGGAACAAGACAAGGTTGCCCACTTTCACCACTTCTATTCAACATAGTACTGGAAGTCCTAGCCAGAGCAATCAGACAAGAGAAAGAAATAAAGGGCATCTAAATCAGTAAAGAGGAAGTCAAACTGTTGCTGTTCCTGATGATATGATCATATAATGAGAAAACCCTAAAGACTCATCCAAAAAGCTCCCAGATCTGATAAATGAATTCAGTAACGTTTCAGGATACAACATCAATGTACACAAATCAGTAGCACTGGTATACACCGACAGTGACTGAGCTGAGAATTAAATCAAGATCTCAACCCCTTTTACAACAGCTACAAAAAAAAAACAAAACAAACAAACAAACAAAACCAAAGAAAAAACCCCAAGCAAACCAACTTAGGAATATACCTAACCAAGGAGGTGAAAGACCTCTACAGTGAAAACTACAAAACACTGCAGAAAGAAATCATAGATGACACAAACAAATAGAAACACATCACATGCTCATGGATAGGTAGAATCAATATTGTGAAAATGACCATACTGCCAAAAGCAATCTACATCATCATTCTTCCCCGAACTAGAAAAAGCAATCCTAAAATTCATGTGGAACCCAAAAATAGCATGCATAACGAAAGCAAGACTAAGCAAAAAGAACATATGTGGATGCATCACATTGCTTGACTTCAAGCTATACTATAAGTCTATAGTCACCAAAGCAGCATAATACTGGTATAAAAATAGGCACATAGACTAATGGAACCGAATGGAGAACCGAGAAATAAAGCGAAATACTTAAGCCAACTGATCTTTAACAAAGGAAACAAAAACATAAAGTTGGGAAAGGACACCATATTCAACAAATGGTGCTGGGATAATTGGCAAGCCATATGTAGAAGAATGAAACTGCATCCTCATCTCTCACCTTACACAAAAATCAACTCAAGATGGATCAAAGACTTAAATCTAACACCTAAAACTATAAAAATTCTAGAAGGTAACATTGGAAATACCCTTCTAGATATTTGCTTAGGCAAAGATTTCATGACCAAGAACCCAAAAGCAAAGGCAACAAAAACAAAGATAAATAGATGGGACTTAATTAAACTAAGAAGCTTCTACACAGCAAAAGAAATAATCAGCAGAGTAAAAAGACAACCTACAGAGTGGGAGAAAATCTTTACAAACTATGCATCCAACAAAGTACTAATATCCAGAATCTATAAGGAACTCAAACAAATCAGCAAGAAAAAAACAAATTATCCTATCAAAAAGTGTGCTAAGGACATGAATAGACACTTCCCAAAAGCAGATATAAATGGCCAAGAAACATGAAAAAATCCTCAATATCACTAATTATCAAGGAAATGCAAACAAAACCACAATGCGATACCATCTCACTCCTCCAAGAATAGCCATAATCAAAAAATTAAAAAAAAATAGATGTTGCCATGGGTGTGGTAAAAAGGGAACACTTTTACACTGCTGGGGGGAATGTAAACTAATATAACCACTATGGAAAAGAGCATGAAGATTTCTTAAAGAATTAAAAGTAGATCTACCATTTGATCTAGCAATCCCACTACTGGGTAGCTACCCAGAGGAAAAGAAGTCATTATATGAAAAAAAACACTTGCACACACGTTTATTGCAGCACAATTTGCAATTGTGAAAGATATGGAACTAGCTCAAATGCCTATCAATCAATGAATGCATAGAGAAAATGTGGTGTATATATATATGTGTGTATATAGACACATATATGTGTATGTGTGTATATATATATACACACACAGACCAGGGACGGAATACTACTCAGCTATAAAAAGGAATGAAATAATGGCATTCACAGCAGCCTGGAAGGAGTCAGACACCATTATTCTAAGTGAAGTAATTCAGGAATGAAAAAACCAAACATTGTATGTTCTGACTTATAAGTGGGAGTTATGCTATGAGGATGCAAAAGCATAAGAATGATACAATGGACTTTGGGGACTTAGGGGGAAGAGTAGGAGGAGGGTGAGGGATAAAAGACTACACCTCGGGTGCAGTGTACACTGCTCTGGTGATGGGTGCACCAAAATCTCAGAAATTACCACTAAAATATTTTCCATGTAAACAAACACCACCTGTTCCTTAAAAACTAATGAAAAAAATAAAAAAGACATGAGATCAACCTAAATGCCCATCAATGGTGAACTGGATAAAGAAAATGTGGCACATATACACCATAGAATAATACACAGCCATAAGAAAGAACGAGATCATGTCCTTTGGAGCAACGTGGATGGAGTTGAGGCCATTATGCAAAGTGAATTAACACAGGAACAGGAAACCAAATATCCCATATTCTCACTTATAAGTGGGAGCTAAACACTGAGTACACATGGACAGAAAGAAGGGAACAATCGTCACTAGGTGAATTTGAGGGTGGAGGCTGGAAGGAGGGGGAGAATAGAAAAACTACCTATTGGGTATTATGCTTACAACCTGGGTGACAAAATAATCTGCATACCAAACCCCTGTGACATGCAATTTCTCCATATAACAAGCCTGCTCATGTACCACTTGAGCCAAAATAAAAATTGGAGAAGAAAAAAACTCCTAAGGGTTGTCATTTTGGGTAGAGTTATGGGCATTATGATTTGAAGCCATAGTTTAAGGTCATTCCTCCTTTATTTATAAAGTTCTAATTTTTAAAATAAAAGTGCATTTGAGTATTTTATCATAAACATTAATTTAAAAATTCACTGGATTTTGTAGTAACTATGTAATGGATGAACTTTGCTATGAGTGTCATTGGAATGGATAAGCAGAGACAAAAGTTGATGAATTAAGAAGTGAAAAGGAGTTAGGATCTAGAGACAGTAGTTATAGACTTATTTTGAGGAATTCAAACATGAGACAAATGGATGGTAGATAAAGATGGATGGGGCACTGGATATACAGCAAGAGTTTTTGTTTGCTTTCTTTAAAATGGGAGAGTTTATATTTATACACCTATGTCTATATAAAATGTTTATCATATATATATACACACATACATATATATGAAATGTGCAACTGTATTTACATATAGCTATGAGGAAGAGGCCATTAGATAGATTAAAACATACAGATATGTTATAATACAGACGAAAAGGAATAAATTGATCACGTGAATTTTCTTGATGATAAACATTTAGGGGCTATGAATGTTTGCTAAAAAAATTTCGTGCAATTTGGGACATGCTCTGCTTTTAATCAACTGCTTTCCAAGGATTTTAACACTGTGAAATGAATTTTAATAGAGCTTTTCTATACAATATTCTGAATATTTTAACAGTTTTAACCAAGCATCCTTAATTGAATATTTTCACAAGAAAAAATGAGAAAGAAATTACACTAATAGAATTGCCAATTGACAGGGAAATTTCATAATGAAGTGGGAAAAAACAGCAGCTGCACTTGCCTCCATAAGGCGTGGACCTACAGCCAATCTGAAACAAACCACCTTCAAATGCCTCAAAGCCTGAAACAGAAAGCAGTCACATTTGATACATTTACAATGGCCAACAAGAAAATTATTTTAACAAATGTTGGACTATAAAGTCTTTTTTCATAAGAAGCTTTCACTAAACAAAATCTCATTTCAACAGATTGTCCCACTGGACTTTGAACTCTATTATATTTTATATGTCATCATAGGTTGGATTATAAACAATTTCATCTTTTATAAAATATTACTGTATTTTAATTATTAAAAGATCAATTTTACTGTGATTAAATAGCTAAAGCTACCTTCCTGAACTTTCCTAATACGTAGTATAATAATAGTGTCCTATTAGTGTTTTCCCATTAACTTTTTGATATGAACTGTTTGATTAACTTAATAAGTATAAATACAATACTAACATGCCAAAGAAAATAGCTTAAAAACTGCATAATTCATTTTAAAAGGGAGAACTTTTCAATTTTCTCCTTGGTTCATACTTTCTACTGGAGAATATAATCTCATTGGCTATAATTATTTATGCTCTTGAGCTATTTCTATTAAACCACATTTGCCACATTTATTTGAGTGGCTGTCATATTCATGAATAGTCATCTTCTTATAGATGGGATTTATGATCCCTAGAATGTAATATTTTAAGAAATGCTTTAAAAGATTAGATTTTACAATAATGCAAAGATAATCAGGAAAATAATCCTGTAGAGAAAACGTCATAAAAAATTACTGAAATCCTTCATCTCCCTAAGAAAAGAAAAAGAATTGTATAAGGTTTTTCTTATAAAACCTTTGTTTGTTTTGTTTTGTTTTTTGAGACGGAGTCTCACTCTGTCCCCCAGGCTGGATTGCAGTGGCACTATCTCAGCTCACTGCAACCTCTGTCACTCAGGTTCAAGCGATTCTCTTGCCTCAGCCTCCCGAGTAGCTGGGATTACCAGGTAAATGCCACCATGCCCGGCTAATTTTTGTAGATTACAGGCATGAGCCATCATGCCCGGCCTTTTTTTCTTTATCTTAGGTTTGTTTACAGACTCCACTTGGAACAGGTAAATAAAATATGTGCTTCTTTTTCTTTCTCACCATCCTCTAATATTTGAAATAACCTTACTCGATTTGTAATTGTAAAATCTACCTGTGGATCGAGTCCAAGCCCAACTCGTATTAGAATAATGTTAAGGGCAATGCTTCTTAAAATTGAAGACCATGCGTTAGGAACATGGACATGTTCATTGATGAATGGAACATTCCTAATTGTAAAACCAGCCAGTAACATCCCTTAAAAGAAAGAAAATAAACATACATGACAGTTCATTTTTCTGAGAAAGAAAACAGAAATGTTTACTTTATTTTCTAATGCACTATGTCTCTCATTATTTTGGTAAAGGACAGGTTACAAGCAAGTAGAGAAGGCAGCATGAATAAAGGAATGGTGATAAGAAACAATACACCTAAATGGGGTTCAACAAGTAATTTAGTGTTGCTGGAACATACAGGACAAGGAAAGGAGGGAGGAGAATGAGCTTGGTGGGCCAGATCATAGAAAGGTCTCCCCCCACTTTGGCAAAGTAAGGCACCATGGGAAGGTTTTAGGCAGGAAGTAACATAATGAGTCTTGCGATTTTTATATGAGGGTCTTGGTGAATTAGTTAGGGATAAAACTGGAGACAGAGACCAAATTGAAGGCTCTGCCACAGTCCACGCAAAAGTTGGAAACAAATAGCCTAAGCTAGAGCAAAAGAGAAAGTTTGGAGAGGAGGAAAATGATTCAATAAATACTGAGAAGGTGTTGCAAGAAAACTGTGGATACAGAAGGGACAGCAGAGATAAGATGTAGAGATTATCTCTACTGACAGTGTACTGAATATATATTTATTTTTGGGGACAGGGTCTCATTATTTTGCCCAAGCTGAGTGCAGTGATGCAAACATGGCTCACTGTAGGCTTAACCTCCTGAGCTCAAGTGATCCTCTTGCCTTAGCCTCCTGAGTAGCTGAGACCCAGAAAAATTTTTAATATTTTGTAAAGACAAGGTCTGCTATGTTGCCCAGGCTGGTTTTGAACTCCTGGGCTCAGGTGATCCTCCTGCCTTGGCCTCCCAAAGTGCTGGGATTATGGGCATGAGCCACCATGCCTGGCCCACTGTACTGAATATTTAGATATATTTGAATACAGTAAGTTCTCACTTAACATCGTCGATAGGTGATTGGAAATGGCAACTTTGAGTAAGATGGTATATAACAAAACCAATTTTAGCATAGGCTAAATGATATAAACAAGAGTCAATTTCCTATAGCATATTTCTGGTCACAAAACATCACCAAACTTCTAAATAAAGATCCAAAACACTTCTAGTATTAAACAATGAAATAAATGTGAGCTCTACATACATTTTACAAAGTTTTATAAAAACAAATAAGATAATTCTTTACTTAATTTTTGGTGAATCCACGAGTGATGGTGGTTATAGCAGTGATGGTTAAAATCAAAGAATAAATGTTTACAAAGTGAAAATTTTAAGGAGCACCTCCTCCCACTATGCAGTTCAAAAACAAACACAAATATGGTAGGCTGGCTGAGAGTTTTCATATCACATTGTTTATTGTCTTGCATTTGTATGGTTATCATATACTTAACAAAATTTTATTTTACAATAATTTATATTCATTCATTTATTCATTGTACAATCCACTAGTTCAGGGTCATTGTACAATCCACTAGAATGCTAGTTCAGGGTCAAAGGTGACTGAAACTCAATCCAAAAAAATCAAGGAGGGACTCCCTCCCTAACACATTCTATGAATCTAGTATCACAATTGTACCCAAATCAGGCAAAGCCATACACACACACACACACACACACACACAACTGGTCAATATCCCTGATGAACATAGATGCAAAAATTCTCAACTAGCAAAATGAATTCAATAGTACATCAAAAAGATAATATAGTTAAGTGGGTTTTACTCCAGAAATACAAGGATGGTTCAACATGTGAATCATTCTTCCATAAAGACATATACACACATATGTTCATTGTGGCACTATTCACAATAAAAAGACATGGAATCAACTTAAATGACTAAATAAAGAAAATGTGGTACATATACACCATGGAATACTATGCAGTCATAAAAAAGAATGGCATCATGTCCTTTGCAGCAACATGGATAGAGCTGAACACCATTATCCTAAGTGAAATAACTCAGAAACAGAAAAATCAAATACCACATGTTCTCACTTATATGTGGGAGCTAAACAATGGGTACATATGGACATAAAGATGTAAATAATAGACACTGGGGAGTCCAAAAGGAGAGAGCGTTGGAGGGTTAAGGTTGAAAAATTACCTATTGGGTATAGTATTCACTGTTTGCTGATGGGTTCACTAGAGCCCAAATCTCACCATTATGCAATATATCCATGTACCAAACCTGCACATGTACTCCATTTATCTAAAATTTTTAAAGATTCTATTAAACAATAAAGCAACAGGAATAATGTACTAAGGATATTAAATTTACTTTAAAAATAAATTTTGGATAAAACTTGTGTGTGTATATATGTAGACAGAGAGAGAAATAAATGCCCCTATAAAGGAGCTGTACACACACACACACACATGAAGAAACTATATAAAACATACTACATTGAAATATTTCTGAATTATAACTAATTCAACAAGAAAATGTTCAAAATTTGCATATAGTCAATAATAAAGAAAAGAGAGCTAATTATATACTTACCAAGAAGAGGTGGAAGTGGAGGCACTAAAGGTATTCTAATGAGTTGTAAAATTTTTCCCCCACTAATGGCACTATAAAAAATAATTAACAATCCAAATAAATTTCCACCAGGGAGAGCTTCAGAGCCTAAGATTGACCAGGTCATACACCATATCACAAACAGTGTAACTCCTGAAATACAAAGAAGTGTACAGCTATATATCTACATACACATAGATGTATACAAACAAAGGATCAATTCTCTTTTATCATATATACTAATAGCCAGTTCTATAAAATGATACATGGTATAGATCAACATTGCTTACTAGTTTGGTGAAAGAGATATCTGCTTAACATATATTCCAAATAACCTGTCAATTTATGAAGTAGGTTTTAAACAAAGTGTTTTCACTTTAAAAATATTTAAAAACTATATGTGGGCCAGGTGCAGTGGCTCACGCCTTAATCCCAGCACTTTGGGGGGCTGAGGCAGGCTGGATCACATGAGGTCAGGAGTTTGAGACCAGCCTGGCCAACACAGTGAAATCCCGTTTCTACTAAAAACACAAAAATTAGCCATGCGTGGTGGTGCATGCCTGTAATCCCAGCTACATGGGAGGCTGAGTCAGGAGAATTGCTTGAACCCAGGAGGTGGAGGTTGCAGTGAGCCAAGATTGTGCCACTGCACTCCAGCCTGGGTGACAGAGTGAGACTCAGTCTCAATAAAAAAATTAAAAAAATTAAAAAAAAACCTATATGTGAACTCTTGAAAATGCTAACTTATAATATATGATAGTTAAAAACATCATGGCAATATGATGAGATTTACTTCATTTTATATTTTAAAATAGCTTTTTCATCAGGATGGAAAATAAGAGGATGATTGGCTGTGATAAGAATTCACAACCTTATTGAAGATCACAGTGTCAAGGTGCCAAATCTTTTAACAGGAACCTGCTAAATCTTTTTATTGAAAGGATAATTCAACTGATATTTGGCATAAATGTATTATAGGAGGTAATGGCTGGAAGAAATGAACCTAGATTTTGTGGGAATAAATATAAAGTATCTTAGATTATGTGTAGGAGGTAGAGGTAGATTAAGATGAGTAGGTATAAGTTACTAGACATCTTGTTTCTGGCAACTAGGTGCTACTCACTGAGGAATCCACAGGTTTCTGTAAAGGACAGACAATAACATGGTAAATTTCCATTTGCTAATTAAATGGCTACCTTTATTTGCCATGAATCATAATTGCTAATGCTTTTAATATTCTTAAAACAGCTTACATGAATTTTTTAGCTATGATCCCTTTCTGGCTGTATAGAATTTGCCAGGGTAGAAGAGGAGGATTTTGACTCACTCCAGGCAGAAAGTTAGAACAAAGTTTCTTTCCTCCTCCCGTCTGATTATTGTCATCCTGCAAAACTGGAAGCCTTGGAGGGCTAAACTCTTACTAAAATAATGGACCAGGCTGGGCATGGTGGCTCACGCCTGTAATCCCAGCACTTTGGGAGGCCGAGGCGGGTGGATCACCCGAGGTCAGGAGTTCAAGATGAGCCTGACCAACACGGTGAAACGCTGTCTCTATTAAAAATACAGACAATTAGCCTGGCCTGGTTGTGTATGCCTGTAATCCCAGCTACTTGGGAGGCTGAGGTAGGAGAATTGCTTGAACCCAGGAGGCGGACATTGTAGTGAGCTGAGATGGCGCCACTTCCCTCCAGCCTGGGTAACAAGAGCAAAACTCCATCTCAAGAAAAAAAAAACAAAACAAAACAAAAAAATAAAATAAAAAACACGGACCAGAAAATGTCATCCTACTGACAAATTGAGAAGACAAGGCAGTTTGTCTTAGCTGGTCTCTGTGCGGCCAAGTCTTTTTTGAGAATTCATATGTAAAACTGGCCTCATCCAACTTATGCGTAGGGCTCAAATTATATTACGTGCACAGGTTAGGGATCCCAAAGTTCTAAACCTACCATAAAAGTGTCCCTGCATAGAAGTATCCCTAGAACACTTAGTAGATGCTAATTCAAAAAATCTCTAATAGACACTCCTGATCCCAGACTGCATAAAGTCTCAAAGGTAAAGCCAAGTGAATCTGAACTTAAAATAAGAAGAAATATTCCATGAGCAAAAGTTAACAGATACAACAAAGAATGGGATTAGATGTCTAAAAACCTCAGCTAATAGAACCACTAGATAGACACTATAAAATATGTATTTTCAAAGAGACTAGAGACAATTTTTAAAAATTGGAGACATGAGAAGAAGAAATTACTTCATGTCCAAAACACCAAAAGCAATGGCAACAAAAGCCAAAATTGACAAATGGGATCTATTTAAACTAAAGAGCTTCTGCACAGCAAAAGAAACTACCATCAGAGTGAACAGGCAACCTACAACATGGGAGAAAATTTTCGCAACCTACTCATCTGACAAAGGGCTAATATCCAGAATCTACAATGAACTCAAACAAATTTACAAGAAAAAAACAAACAACCCCATCAAAAAGTGGGCAAAGGACATGAACAGACACTTCTCAAAAGAAGACATTTATGCAGCCAAAAAACACATGAAAAAATGCTCATCATCACTGGCCATCAGAGAAATGCAAATCAAAACCACTATGAGATATTATCTCACACCAGTTAGAATGGCAATCATTAAAAAGTCAGGAAACAACAGGTGCTGGAGAGGATGTGGAGAAATAGGAACACTTTTACACTGTTGGTGGGACTGTAAACTAGTTCAACCATTGTGGAAGTCAGTGTGGCGATTCCTCAGGGATCTAGAACTGGAAATACCATTTGACCCAGCCATCCCATTGCTGGGTATATACCCAAATGACTACAAATCATGCTGCTATAAAGACACATGCACACGTATGTTTATTGCGGCATTATTCACAATAGCAAAGACTTGGAACCAACCCAAATGTCCAACAATGATAGACTGGATTAAGAAAATGTGGCACATAGCATATCTACAACTATCTGATCTTTGACAAACTTGAGAAAAACAAGCAATGGGGAAAGGATTCCCTATTTAATAAATGGTGCTGGGAAAACTGGCTAGCCATATGTAGAAAGCTGAAACTGGATCCCTTCCTTACACCTTATACAAAAATCAATTCAAGATGGATTAAATATTTAAACGTTAGACCTAAAGCCATAAAAACCCTAGAAGAAAACCTAGGCATTACCATTCAGGACATAGGCGTGGGCAAGGACTTCATGTCCAAAACACCAAAAGCAATGGCAACAAAAGCCAAAATTGACAAATGGGATCTAATTAAACTAAAGAGCTTCTGCACAGCAAAAGAAACTACCATCAGAGTGAACAGGCAACCTACAACATGGGAGAAAATTTTCCCAACCTACTCATCTGACAAAGGGCTAATATCCAGAATCTACAATGAACTCAAACAAATTTACAAGAAAAAAACAACCCCATCAAAAAGTGGGCGAAGGACATGAACAGACACTTCTCAAAAGAAGACATTTATGCAGCCAAAAAACACATGAAAAAATGCTCATCATCACTGGCCATCAGAGAAATGCAAATCAAAACCACTATGAGATATCATCTCACACCAGTTAGAATGGCAATCATTAAAAAGTCAGGAAACAACAGGTGCTGGAGAGGATGTGGAGAAATGGGAACACTTTTACACTGTTGGTGGGACTGTAAACTAGTTCAACCATTGTGGAAGTCAGTGTGGCGATTCCTCAGGGATCTAGAACTAGAAATACCATTTGACCCAGCCATCCCATTACTGGGTATATACCCAAATGACTATAAATCATGCTGCTATAAAGACACATGCACACGTATGTTTATTGCAGCATTATTCACAATAGCAAAGACTTGGAACCAACCCAAATGTCCAACAATGATAGACTGGATTAAGAAAATGTGGCACATATACACCATGGAATACTATGCAGCCATAAAAAATGATGAGTTCATGTCCTTTGTAGGGACATGGATTAAATTGGAAACCATCATTCTCAGTAAACTATCGCAAGAACAAAAAACCAAACACCGCATATTCTCACTCATAGGTGGGAATTGAACAATGAGATCACAAGGACACAGGAAGGGGAATATCACACTCTGGGGACGGTGGTGGGGTCGGGGGAGGGGGGAGGGATAGCAGTGGGAGATATACCTAATGATAGATGACACGTTGGTGGGTGCAGCGCACCAGCATGGCACATGTATACATATGTAACTAACCTGCACAATGTGCACATGTACCCTAAAACTTAAAGTATAATAAAAAAAAAAAATTAAAAAAAAAAAAAAAGAAAATGTGGCACATATACAACATGGAATACTATGCAGCCATAAAAAATGATGAGTTCATGTCCTTTGTAGGGACATGGATGAAACTGGAAACCATCATTCTCAGTAAACTATCACAAGAACAAAAAACCAAACACCGCATATTCTCACTCATAGGTGGGAATTGAACAATGAGATCACATGGACACAGGAAGGGGAATATCACACTCTGGGGACTGTTGTGGGGTGGGGGGAGGGATAGTATTGGGAGATATACCTAATGCTAGATGACGAGTTAGTGGGTGCAGCGCACCAGCATGGCACATATATACATATGTAACTAACCTGCACAATGTACACATGTACCCTAAAACTTAAAGTATAATAAAAAAAAAGAAAGTATTGTAAAATAATTAAATAGAACACCTAGAAAAAACTTTAAAATTTACTCAACTGAAAAAAAACCCACTAAGTACACAAATAGCAATCTAGACAAAGCTGAAGAGAGAACACAGCAAAGTAGTAGATATGAGGAAATTATTTAAGAGCATAGCACACACAAAAAAAAACGAGGTGGAAAATGAGAGATTTAGATTATGGAAAAGATCTAAAACACAACTAATGGTAGTTTCAGAAACATAATTGAAAGAATGAAGAAGATGTAATATTTGAGAAGAAAACTGGCTTCAAATTTTACAGAATTGATTAGGGTTTTTATTGATTTGGACACAGGAAGTCAAATGAGTTCTAATCACGATTAAGTAAAAATAGATACTTAGATAAAATGTTGAGAAACTATAGACTACCAAAGGCAAAAATAAAATCTTAAATAATCTAGACAGAGAAAGAGAGATTAATCATAATTGAATAAACAATAGAGCAGATTCTCAATTCTTATCAGCAACAATAGAAGATGGAAGATAATTAAATAAAGTCTTCAAAGTACAGAGATAAATAAAACATTCAATGTTGAATTCTGCAGTCAGTTAACTTTCACTCGAACAAAAGACAAATGAAAGATATTGTCAAACAAACACATTTAAGAACATATGCCATTTTTTACCAGGGAAAAATCTACTGAAAGATATGCTTTAGAAATATGACATAGAACCAAAAAAGATGGAACAATGTGCAAAGAAATTGGTAAAATGTAGGTTAGTCTAAACAGGTATTTGTTGTGTAACACATTACTAACGAAAATTGTTAATCAGAGGATATAAAAATAAGGTTGGGAGGTGACATGAAAAGGTTGGCAATTTATTTCCACACCAAAACTCCCCCCAGAAATTGCAGAAATACCAAAAACAATCATTTCAGGACCCTGAAAACTCATCAAAGGCAGTTATCAAATTTAAGAAGCATTTATTCTTGAAAAAAGTGTTAGGGTTTTGGGTAGGTTTGGTAAAAGTCTGAGCCCTTCCTGACTGGGGTTGCTCCCTGATATGGTTTGGCTTTGTGTCCCCATGCAAATCTCATCTTGAATTGTACTCCCATAATTCCTATGTGTTGTGGGAGGGACCTGGTGGGAGATAATTAAATTATGGGGGTGGCTCCCCCCCCATACTGTTCTCGTGGTAGTGGATAAGTCTCACAAGATCTGATGGCTTTATCAGGAGTTTCTGCTTTTGCATCTTCCTCATTTTCTCTTGCCGCCACCATGTAAGAAGTGCCTTTCACCTCCCGCCATGATTCTGAGGTCTCCTCAGCCACCTGGAACTATAAGTCCAATTAAACCTCTTTTTCTTCCCAGTCCTGGGTATGTCTTTAACAGCAGAATGAAAACGGACTAATACACTCCCATCTCTCTTCTCACCCCCAACCTCAGTTGGGAAAAACTAGTTTGACCAGTTTGAAGCTGGATGTAAAACCCAGCAGCTTTCCTGTTAGGGCTGGGGGCACGGGTGGATTTGGTATGGAGTAGAGGGAAGAAATCAATGGTTTTGCCAGTTAAATACAGCAGAGTGGTTTGGGAATGAACAGAGAGAATTGCAGATTTGCTAGTCTGAGGTTGCAGTTTCAATTGGGGAGGTGGAAGACAAGACAAAAATTTAAATGAGAGATCCTGAGGGTCAATAGGTGCAGCAAACCACCATGGCACATGTATACCTGTGTAACAAACCTGAATGTTCTGCACATGTATCCTGGAACTCAAAGTAAAATTAAAAAAGAAAGAAAGAAAGAGAGAAAGAAACAAAGGAAGAAAGAGGAAGAAAGAAAGAGAGAGAAAGAGAGAAAGAAAGAAGAAAGAAAGAAAGAAAGAAAGAAAGAAAGAAAGAAAGAAAGAAAGAAGAAAGAAAGAAAGAAAGAAAGAAAGAAAGAAAGAAAGAAAGAAAGAAAGAAAGAAAGAAAAGAAAAGAAAAGAAAAGAAAGACCCACATGCAAGGCTAGACTTTTCCAGTTCCAAGTTCCAATTCTCTCACTGAGAAGAGTGGCTCACTCTGCCTAAACTGTTTATACAAACAATGTGGTTTACTCTGAACAGCTGCTCTTCCTCTGGGAGTCTGGAATTCTGGCACATGTGAAGGAGAGTAACTTCCATAAAATCCTGAGTACTGAGTCTCTAATGAGACTCTGGTCCTGGTAGATGACATTGCACATGTGCTGTCAAAATTTCATGCTGGGAAAGAGAAACACATCCTTGTAACTCCACAGGAGATGATTCCGAAAGTTTGAGAAAAGTTCTCCACACATATGGCCAATTGGAAAAGTATGGAAGTGCAGGAAAGACTCAAGAGAGTATGACAAAAAGTAAAAATGAAGTAAGACTTGAGTATTAATTGCAACTTTGAATGCATTCACCCACCCACCCATAGATTATTTGGCAGAGAGTGAAAGCCTTACTAGCTTTAATATAATGTCTCTCCAAAATCAAGCTATGCAACAGACACAAAGGAAATCCCTAGAAAGACAGGCTAAAACAACAATAACAACAACAACACAATATAAAAGACATCAATGCTGAAAAACACTGGGCAGAAGGATTACACAGCACAAGTATAAGCCAATTACCAAAACAGAACAACAACAAAGACAATAACAAATAAAAACCAAATCCAGATTTGCTATAATGTGTAATTAAAGAGTTTAGTTTTCAATTAAAAATTATCAGACATGTAAGGAAACAGGAAAATATGGCTCATACTCTGGAAAAAAAAGCAGTGAATAGAAACTGTCTCAATTCAGATATTGGATTTAGAAAGAAAGTTTTCAAAGTATATATTATAAATATGTTCAAATTAAAAATATGATAATGTGCTGTCTAGTAGAGAATGTGAATAAGGAGACAGAATATGTTTAAAAATAGAATCTAGAATTGAAAAGTACAACAGTTAAAGTGAAAAAATCACTAGCGAGGTTCAATAGCATATTTGACCTTGTGAAAGAAAGTATCAGTGACCTTGAAGATAGACCAATAGAGGTTAATCAATCTGAAGAACAAAAAGAAAAAAGAATGAAGGATAATAAACAGATCCTCAGAAACTTATGGGATACCATCAAGAGCACTAACATATGCATAATGGGGATTCCAGGAGAAGAGAGAGATAAGAGGGCAGAAAAATATTTGAAAACATAATGTCTGAAAACTTGAAAAATGCTATGTAAAACATTAATCTTCAGATATAAGAAGGCAAACAAATCTCGAGTAGGATAAACACAAAGAGATTCACACCTAGAGCCATCCTTGTCAAATTGGTGAAAACCAAGGATAATAAGAAAATCATGAAAGTAGCAAGAGATGACTTATCACATACAGGGGAACAATAATATTATCAATACTGGCATTTTTATCTGAAAAAAATGGAGGCCTTATGAGGCGACATTTCAAAAGTGGAGGGAAAAATTACTGTCAATTAAGAATTCTGTATCCAGTTAAATGATCCTTCAAAAATGGAGCTGAAATAAAGACATTTCCAGATAAATAAAAATAAAAAGAACTTATCCTTGCTAAAGAAACACTAAAGAAAATGATTTTAAGATAAAAGAATATGACACCACATGGCAACTTGAACCTATAAGGAATAAACGGCATGGGAAATGGTAAATAAATTTGTAAGTATAAAAGATTGTATGTGTGTGTGTGTGTGTATTCTGATTTCATCTCTTTTTTTAAAAAAGCATCTGATTATTATAGGCAATAACTATAACAATACTGCTGAGTTCATAGCATATAAGAGATACATTGGATCAAAGTTGCTATATAACACTGGAATTAAGTAAAAATTATTAAACCAAAGTAGATTGTAAAAAGTGAAGATGATTGATTATTATAATCCCCAAAGGTACTTGGGAGGCTGAGATAGAAGTATTGCTTGAGGCTAGGAGTTTGAGACTAGCCCAAGCAACACAATGAAACTCTGTTGATATAGTTTGGATATGTGTCCCTGCCCAAATCTCATGTTGAATTGTAATCCCCAAAATTGGAGATAGGTCCTGCTGGGAGGTGAATGGATCATGGGGGCAGATTTCTCATGAATCATTAGCACCGGCTAATTTGGTATTTTTAGTAGAGACAGAGTTTCTCCATGTTGGTCAGGCTGGTCTTGAACACCTGACCTCAGGTGATCCACCCGCCTCAGCCTCCCAAAGTCCTGGGATTACAGGCATGATCCATTATGACTGGCCTAATCTTTACTTTCTAAAAATTATATTAAAATTGATATTTCTCTATTATCTAATCATAAATTATATCAAATATGCTGTTTTGAATTTTATTTTTCCCTTTAAACATAAAGACACACATTCAGTTCATTGTGCTAGATAAATTACCAGTGCGATCACAAATTAAGAAATGCAATTCAAAGAATTTTGCATACAAGGAGTCCTGAAAGTGTTAATAACTTTTGATGCAAAGATAATTTTATGAAAGTAATAGAAGACTAAAAAAGGTACAAAATAACTATTATGTAAGTATTTTCCTTTTTCTGAATCACCCATGATTACTTTTTCCACCAAGCAAAAACTAACTGCATACTTCAGACCTGTCTCAAATCTCCCCAGCCTCTTTTCCTAAACCTCCCCAGCCTCTCAGGACAGACAGGCTGCTCCTGTATTTTGTGCATTCTGCTATTTTTAGCAAGAGGCCTATTTTGTCAGTGTTGTCTGAATAGTATTTGCCAACTCTCAGACTTTCAGTCACTTATTTGTTTATTTATTTATTTATTTGTCTCCTTTTCTTGTATTTCTCTTTTCCTTTTCTTTCCTTTCTTTTTCCCTTTCCTCCTCCCTTCCTTTGCTTACTTATTTTTTTTCCCTTTAATTCCCATTCACTATTTCCATGACTGTCAAATAGTAGGTTGATCCTTTAAAATATTCCTTTTTTAAAATTTATTGTACTTTAAGTTCTGGGATACATGTGCAGAACGTGCAGGTTTGTTACATAGGTATACACGTGCCATGTGGTTTGCTGCACCCATCTACAATATATCTTAAAATGAATAAAAGTGGAAACACACAGGAGACAGGGTGTATGGGGTGAGTGGGTTGCCAAGTGGATGGTGGCAGGGTGCTCCAGGGTGGCCAGTGGGGCTAAGTGTTGTGTATTCCAAGCATGGTGGGGTTCCTGCCTTCCTGTGTGGCAGACTGTGGCATCAGGTAACAGCCACTCAGTGCCCACCCTGGCTCCTCCATTGCCTTGTTCTCAGCCCCTGACATCCAGCCCACACCTGGAGATTGAGCTGCACCCACTGCTCTGGGTCTCAGCCCTGTGATCACCTCAGTAGATATTCCGAGCTTGGCTATACAGGCAACACTGAGCCATAGTTTACTATTCTTTCATGCATTTCTATCAGAGAGTCAGCAAAGGTAGTTGACAAAGCCCAAGGGAGAATGTTGAGGGGAGTTGATGACCTGGACTTTTTCATACAGGATGAAGCCATTGATAAATCTATGTATGCTACAAAGTGGTCAATATGACATGGAATCACTGAAGACTGGGATATTATGGAAAGGTTCATGGAGCAAGTGGTTTTTAAATGTCTTTGAGCAGAATCTGAGGACCATTATTTTTTAATGACAGAACTTCCACTGAATACACTAGAAAATACAGAGCATTTTTGCAGAAATTATGTTCGAATTATTTAATGTACCAGGATTCTACATTGCAGTTCAGGAGGTACTAGCCCTGGAAGTATCTTGGACATCTCAACAAGTGGGTGAATATATGTTAATGAGTATAGTCATTGACAAAGGAGATGGAGTCACCCTTGTTCTCCCAGTTGTAGAAGGTTATGTAATTGGGAGCTGCATCAATCACATCCTGATTGTAGGTGATACTGTGTATTTCATTCAACAGCTGCTAAGGGAGAGGGAGGTAGGAATCCCTCTTGAGCAGTCACTGGAGAACACAAAAGCCATTAAGGAGAAATACTGTTACATTTGCCCTGATATAGTCAAGGAATTTGCTAAGTATGATGTGGATCCCTGGAAGTGGATCAAACAGTACACAGGTATCAATGTGATCAACCAGGAGAAGTTCATAATAGACGTTGGTTACAAAAGGTTCCTGCAACCTGAAATATTTTTTTACCCAGAGTTTGCCAACCCAGACTTTATGGAATCCATCTTGAATGTTGTTGATGAATACAAAACTGTCCCATTGATGTGCATTGTCCACTGTATAAGAATGTTGTTCTTTCAAGGGGTTTGACCATATTCAGGGATTTGAATCTCAACTACAGAGAGATTTGAAGAGTGGTACATGCCAGATTAAAACTCAATAAGGAGCTCAGTGGCAGGAGAATCAAACCTAAGCTTACAAAGGTTCGGGTGGTAATCAATCACATGCAGCACTATGCCTTATGGTTTGGAAGCTTAATGCTAGCCTCAACTCTGGAGTTATTTCAGGTCTGTCACACCAAGAAGGACTATAAAGAATATGGCCCCAGCGTCTGCCACCAGAGCCTTCTCTTTGGAATAATGTCTTAGTGTCTGCCTTGAAAGCATCATTTAATAGTGTCATGTTGGGGAACAAGTGTCCTTCAGAACCCAGAGAAGACTACCATTTCTAAATGACATTTGGTGTTGATGTCTGAGCAGCATGCTTGCACCACCTAGTGCATGAGGCACAGGGCAGAGTCATTTCAGTAAAAGCCATTTCTTTATGTGTTGACTGTTGTATGCCCACTCCTCCTTCTCTCACTCCCTTTCTTCATGCTTCCCCAGTTTCCCTCCTCCTTTTCACTTGAACTTTTTTGTTGACAAATACCATTCTGAAGGAATTCAAATGTGACTCTGAAAATTGTTAAGAGGAAAAAAAATTTCAAAAATGGCCCAAAATAGTTCTCCCCCAGGAAAGAATGCAGTGGTATAAATCCTTTTCCCCCAGCTTATTTTTATAAATAAAATGTTATAAACTTAAAATACAAAAAAAAATAACATAGCAATATTTACAGGATGCAGTTAAAGCAGTGTATAGAGGACAATGTATAGCTTTAAAAACAGAAAGAAAAAATAATCTAAAATTGATAATTAAAACTTCCATCTTAAGACTCTAGAAGAAGATGAGTAAACCAAGCCGAAAGTAAGTAGGATGAATGAAATAAAAATGTCACAGTGGAAAACGATAAATACAGAACAGGATAACATTAAAAACAACCAAAGAAACCCAAAATTGCTTATTTCAGAAAGTCAAGAGATAAATAATATTTAGTTAAATTGACCAAGAAAAAAGAAAGAAGACACTAATTCCCAAAATCAAGAATCAAAGAGAAATATCACCACAGACCCTACCCTTAAAAGGATGTTAAGAAAATAGCATAATAACTTTAAGGCAAAAAATTTGACAACTTAGATAAAATAGAACAATTCCTAGAAAGACACAAATTACCAAAACTGACTCAAGGAAAAAGAAAAAAAAACAAATACCAATATCAAGTAAAGAAATTGCATCAGTAATTTCAAATCTTCCTATAGAGAAAAAATATACTTCACTGGTGAATTCTATCAAACTATTAAGGGAGGAAATAATACCAATGTTACAAAAACTTTATTCAGCAAATAGAGGATGAAGGAAACTTCCCAACTAACTTTATTTCATTTGATATCAATATTACCCTGATATCAAAACAAGACAAAGACATTACAAGAAAACACAGCTATATACCAATATCCCTTGTGAACATAGACATAAAAATTCTTAACCAAATATTAGCAAATGTAATTGAGCAACATATGAAAAGGATTTTATACCATAATCAAATGAAGTTTATCTCAGGAATGTGAGGTTGACTTAACATCCAAAAATCAATGTAATAAACTATATTAACAGAATAAAGGACAAAACCATATGATCACCTCAATAGATGCAGAAAAGAATTTGACAGAATTC